>NC_000010.11:54688549-54840064 GCF_000001405.40 Homo sapiens | reverse complement strand
GAGAATTCTTTTGGCATTTATTATAAGGCAAGTACAATAGTAATAAACTCCTTTAATTGTGTGTGTGTTCATGTGTGTTTTTTTTGTTTGTTTGATAGTGTGTTTGGTCTGAGGATGTTTTTATCTTCCTTTTATTTCTGAAGGACATCTTTGCTAGGTATAATGTTGGTTGGCAAGATTTTTTTTTTCCTTCAGCACTTTGAATATGTAATTCCACTCTTTCATGACCTGCAAGGCTTCTGCTGAGAAATACGCTGATAACCTTATGCTGTTTCCCTTGTATGTGATGAGTTGCTTATTTATTTGCTGCTTTCTAAATTCACTGTTTGGTCTAACATTTGGCAATTTGATTGTAATGTGTCTCTTGATGATCTTTCTTGGGTTTATCTTGCCTAGAGTCTTTTGAGCTTAATGAATCTTAATGTCTATATCTTTCCCAAAATTTGGGATGTTATCAGTCATTATTTCTTAAAATATGCTTTCTACCCTTCTCTCTCTCCTTTTTCTGGAACTTTCATAATGCATACTTTGTGTGCTTGATGCTGTCCATGGATCCTCTAAATTTTCTTTACAGTTTTTCCTTTATTTCTTCAACTGGCTAATTTTAAATGACCAGTTTTCAAGATTACAAATTCTTTATTTTGCATAATAAAATCTATTTGAGATCTTCATTACTTGTTTTCAATTCTTTTATTGTATTCTTCAGCTTCAGATATTCAAGATTTCTATTTGAATCTCTTTTTATGGTTTCTATTTCTTTATTAAACTTCTATTTCTTATGGATTGTTTTTTCTTCAGATTTTGTTTAACTATTTATCTGTGTCCTTAAAGTAATTATTTGGAACTCTTTGTTGGAAAGTTCATAGATCTCTATATATTTGTGGTCAATTATAGGAGTTTTATTAGTTTCTATTGGTGGTATCATGTTTGCCTGTATTTTTGTAATTCTTACAGCCTTGTATTGATGTTTGTGCATTTGAAGAAGTAAACCTCTTTTAGCCTTTACAGACTGGTTTTAGCAGTTAAAGACCACTTCTTGTTGGATTCTCAGGGTGACAGGAGTGCCTCTACAATCCCAGTTGAGTGGGATTAGAGCTGAGTCACAGGGCCTCTGTGTAGTCTGCAATGGAATCCATAGTTGCCAGACATATTACCAGAGTGGGCATGAATCCTGTCTGGTCCCTATGAGGTTTCCTATTGAGTCAGTGGATAGATTTCTGGCCAGGCAGAACTGCTTCCAGATTGCAGCTGAGAGGGGCTGGCGCCAAGTTACAGGGCTGCTTCAGGATCTGCACTAAGATCAAGATTGACAGGCCTGCCTCTAGGTACACAAAGCGACATACCTCCTAGAGGGTGGGAAGATGTACTCCTAGACTGCAGCTGCGTAGGTTTGTATCTGGGTTACATGGCCATTTGAGAATCTGCTGTGGTACCCAGTTAGGTGGGTCTGCCTCTAGTGACACAAATAAGCATGTCTCCTGGTGTGTTTCTAGGCTTATTAGTCTGTTCTCATACTGCTATGAAGAAATACTCGAGACTGGGTAATTTATAAAGAAAAGAGGTTTAATGGACTCACAGTTCTCCATTGCTGGGGAGGCTTCAGAAAATTTACAATCATGGCAGAAGATGAAGGAGAAGCAAAGGCACCTCTTGCATAATGGCAGGTGGGAAAGCATGTAAGCGAGTGCAGGGGAACTGCCTTTTCTAAAACCATCAGATCTCATGAGACTCACTTACTATCACGAGAACCACATGTGGGAAACTGCACCCATGATTCAATTATCTCCATCTAGTCTCTCCTTTGACACATGGGGATTATGGTGATTACAATTCAAGGTGATATTTGGGTGGGGACATAGAGTCAAACCATATCACTAGGTGGACAGGACTGATCCCAGACCTAGACTCTAGCTGGCAGGGGCTGGAACTGGGTTACAGGACCTCGTCAAGTACTGTCGTTCGACTAAGTTAGGTGAACCTCCTTCAAGTATGTATTCTACATACTTGCACAAGTATGTAGAATACTTGGACAAGTATGTATTCTAGCATGTTCCTAGGTGGGAAAGGCTGTTCCTAGGTTATGATTGAAAGGGGTTGGAGCCAGGGCTGAGTTTAACACGACGGTTTCCCAGAGCATGTGTGTAAGTAACTCATTCATTGGCCCTCCACAATGAGATGGGACTGTTTTGGGTCTGTAGCCAGGACTACAGTTGGTAGCCAGGGTATCGACTTGCTTTCTCAAAGTGACCCTCCTCTATTTTGTATATCACCAAAGTTTTGCAGCCTTGTATCTCGATTCCAAAGCTTCCACAAAGGCATTTTCATTCATGAATGGCTGCCGAATTATTGCTGTAGTGGCGTATGAGCAGGGGATCTCCTATTCTTCCATTTTGCTGACATCATCACTCTATTATATTTTTGACTACATTTTAATTTACATAGTTTAGATTGACTCGTTCAAAGGAATATTGTAATAATAATTGATTACTTTTTCCCACTTTCCAATTTTATAAATCACTTTATTTTTTTAAAAAAGTAACAGTTTACAACAATTAAGTTCAATTTTGTGATCATAATTTCCAGGTTTTATTCTTATTTAGTTGGATTCAAATTTACTTTTCATCTTTTAACCATGGTTTTTCTAATACTACTTGAGTTTATTATTCATCCTAGTTTTGCAATTGGCGCAGTGTGTGTGTTTAGGGGTGTATATGGGGACATGTGTCCCTAAAACTCATGGGAATTACATTAGTTTTTATTGTTTTTATTTTCTTTTGTTTACTTTATACAAAAACAATGTCCTGACTGGGTGTAACATATTTAGAGTATTATTTCATTCCTCTACAAATTCGTAGACATTGTCTACTAACTTTTAGTTTTGATTCTAACTTTGAAAAACTTTCAAGATGGTTTAAATCTTTCTTTTTAATGAAATTTAGTTTTTTCCTGAATAATAAAAACTTATTTATACTTGTTATTCAATATTTTAATGTAAATGTGTTGTATTGTCATTTATATCTAACATTTCTAAAATATGGTTTTCTTTTCCCAAAAATATTCTTCGTTTTGTTCTTTTCAGAAAATTGTTCTTGAAGTATTTCAACAGGTTTCTGATCCATTTGTTAGAATTTTTACCTAAATAATAACAATAATTTTATGTGGAGATCTTCTCAATAGTTGTTTGATCTTTTCTGTTTTGCACTCACTTTGATTATTTTTCAAACTTTTCCCCTTTGTCAGTAGTTTAATTTTCAGCTTGTCATTCTATTTGTTACTTATTAGTTCTGCAATGGTATAATTTTAAACCATTTATTAACACTGTAATTTTTTCTTCATCTCAATCTATTGTTATCTTTTTTGAATTGATTTAGTTTATTCATATTAAAGTAGTTATTAGTGTGAAAAATGCTAGTGAGATTATATCTTTTTTCTCAGCTAATTTTTTGTGAACTAGATTATTTATATCTTTTTCAAAAAAATACACACAAATGCACACAGAGACACACACATAAAATCACACCATTTTCAAGGTTTGAATTTATTGCTTAGTTATTACAACTGTGTAACAATTGCAGTATAGGGTGGATTACTTCTCCTCAACAAATATAAAATATATTTTTCTCTATTTTGAAGATGATGCTCAGTGGAGACTGTACAGCTATGAGTGTGGGTGTGGGTGTGTATGCGTATGTGTGTTTGTAACAAGATCGAGATTTTATTAAATGTACTAAAAACAAGTTTCACTCAACCTTGACATTTATTTTACTCCAGTCAGGAATGCTCTCCATTTCTGATCATTCAGTCTACTGAGTTTAAAGCCTTGGAATTTTTAATCTGTCAGATAGAGTTAGACTCTGTTCTTCAATTCTAATTTTTTAATCATCCCTCTCCACTAACTCTTTATCTTCTCTGCAGACGTTTAGACATTGGTGATGAATCTCAAATGTTTTTTAACTTATTATAATTATTTCTGCAAAGTGAGAATAGAATTAGGAACTTTTTTGTGTTGCAATAAAACCTTCAGTTTTTTATAGCAATGAGTTATTCTATTTCTTTAAAACGTATGACAATAGTTTTCCACCTTGTCTTTGTGCTATCGCTGGTATCTTTTAAAGAGATTGAGAATGTTTGCATTTAATTTTGTGATGTCTGTTTGTTTATATTTTGGGAGTTTTAAAAAAATACCGTATCTTTCTTTCTTTTATAAGTGACAGTTTATTTCATCAGGTATTTGAGAGAAAGAATCTATAATCTATCTACAGACACATAGCTCAAAATTTCCTGCTATGTGATTTTAAATTTTACAATTTTATATATTTTTCTGAATATTGATGAATTTCCTCTGAATGCTGTAATATTGGTTTTTTCATAAATATTTTTGATATGTAATTGGACAGGAGCTATGTGAATGAGGGTGTGTGTGCATGGCAGTGTGTATTTTAAGGAAATGCCTGGTGTTTGGAATGTGCATGTTGGTTTCCATGTGCATCAAGGTGGGGATGTGTATGTTGGTGGTGTTTGTCTTAGTAGGGATATGTACTGGGGAACTGTGTCTATGACTGTAGGAGAATATGTGTATACTTATGGAAATTATATATGGATATGTATAGGGATGTACATAAAAAATACTGTGTGTGCATGTATGAGAAAGAGAGATGGAGAAGGAGAGAGAGAAATAATTTTTATGTGAATGGAAACTTCTGAACTTGGCAAAACCAACAGGAAGTCGATAGACACATTTTATATAATAAATGACAAATTTGTGGGTTTATAGATGAATGCTGATGCTTAAAAAATATTAATATTAATTCTAGAATTAATTCATTGCGACCATGAAGATATGCTTCTATTCCTTCTCCTGCTGAAGTCTACTGATGGTGTTCTTTGAAATTCTTATTTCGCTATTGTCTCTTTTCAACATAATATTATTATTGAGTGGGTGACCAAACTATCATTTTCTTGCTCTTTAGACTATAAGAGCACTGAGCTTCATCAGTATAGGTTTTCACTACCAATTGTATCTTCACATTCTTCAGTAAGAAACCACAGGGCATGAACAATGCAGTTAATTGACCTTTAACTCTCAATCCATGTGCTGCATGAAATAGAGATCCTCAGCAGATTTTTTAAAAGTTAAAAATACAATGGGTGCTGTATCAGCATGAGCCTAAGATGGTCAGAGATTAACACAGTGCATGCTAGGGTAGAAAGGCAGACACTTTTAGAAACAACATTGCCACTTTAAAAAAAATTCATTTTCACAAATAGGCAGGACAAGTGCAAAAGTAACATACTTTCAATGTTTCAATAATTGTGGGTCATTAAATCCTGTCTAAATGGATCACATAAACTAAGACATCTTAAATGAACATAAAATCTATAGTATAGAGTGTTTGTTTCAATATTATACCTTAAAATCCTAAATATTCTAATAGAGAGAATTATTTTTTCTTGTCACTCTCTTGTTTCTTTCTTTTTTTTCCTTGTCTCTTTCTTTCTTATTCTGTTTTTTTCACAGCTATCATACATATTGTAAGAATGTGAGTTTTGCAAATTATTACAGATCTGAGTTTAAATTCTAGTAATAAGCTGGGCGCAGTGGCTCACATCTATAACCCAGCACTTTGGGAGGCTGAGGCGGGCGAATCACCTGAGGTCAGGAGTTCGAGACCAGCCTGACCAACGTGGCAAAACCCCGTCTCTACTAAAAATACAAAAATTAGCTGGGTGTGGTGGTTCACCAGCTACTTGGGAAGCTAAGGCAGGAGAATCACTTGAACCTGGGAGGCGGAGGTTGCAGTGAGCCAAGATTGTGCCACTGCACTCCAGTCTGGGCAGCAGGGTGAGACTCCATCTCAAAAAAAAAAAAAGGTAGTAAAAACAATATTAGATATATTTTACTATTTGATAGGTAGTAGGCAATGTGTTAGGCACTGGATGTCCATTCCAGTATTTAGCATGGATATTATTAACATCTCCATTTTATAGATGAAGAAATTAAGACTAAGCAGTTGTGGTAACTTGTCCAATAAGTATCATTAACATAACCAAAGAAGATTTCTCCCATTCTATAGCCCAGGAGCCTAATAATTTGATCATATTATTGTTAAAAATATTAAAATATTTTAGTCCTCATTCATAATTGGTCAATTCCCCCTAACTCCCAAAACACCCGATCTACCCATGATCAAACACTGAAGAGGAAAGCCCCAACATAAAAGGCAGCCTTTCAGGCTCCCACGAACTAAGACTAGCATTCACTCTAATTAGTTGGTACTCACAATATATTGACTGTGAATAATTTTATATCACATTGTGTATTATCCAAGTTTCTCCATAGCAACAGAGCCAATAAAGTAGATAGAGAGACTAACAGGGGAGAGCAAGAGCAAGAACAAGAATGAGAGAGACTGATTTTAGGAACTGGCTTACATGACTGTGAGGGCTGTCAAGTCCAATATCAGTAGGGGAGGTCTGTAGGGCTGAAAATTCAGACAAAAGTTAAATCTGAAATCCATGGTGCAAGCCAGCATGCTGGAAATTCAGGAAAGGTTTCATTGTTGAAGTTTTGAGGCAGAATTTCTCCCTCTTCAGTAACCTTAGTCTTTGTTCTTAAGAACTTCAACTGTTTGAATCCATGCCATGGAGGGTGATCCACCCACTTTGTGGAGGGTAATCTGCTTTACTCAAAGTTACTAATTATAAATGTCATTCACATCTAAAAAATGCCTTCACAGAAACATCTAATGTTTAACTAAACAAATGGACAGCATTGCCTAGACAAGTTAATAAACAAAATTAATTATCATACTTTGTAACATCTACACCTTAATAATGATGCAATCATGAGAGAGTAGTTTAACTGTTCCAAACTCTTCTTGAAAGTCTATTTCTCATCAGTAACACATGACCAATGATAAATGCATCATGGTATTGTTAGGTGAATCAAATGAGATAACGTATGTGATGGAATTAAATTAGATAACATACGTGATGTTCCTGGTATATTGTAAATAAGTAAATAAATAATATATTTTGCTTTTTTCTTAGTCCCTTTTTCTTGCATAAATATAGAACTGCCACTTATTAACTGTACAAACCTGGTAGTTTCTCCTTGCAAAAAAGTCTTAGTTTCCTTACCTGCA
Organism: Homo sapiens; assembly: GCF_000001405.40. Classification (NCBI taxonomy): domain Eukaryota; kingdom Metazoa; phylum Chordata; class Mammalia; order Primates; family Hominidae; genus Homo; species Homo sapiens. Next base: position 54,832,919 of record NC_000010.11, on the reverse strand, counting down.
AAATGTTACATAAAATCTAGAAGTTCTTGAGCTCTCTTTCATCTATGATGTTGAATGACCTATAGTGTCACCACTTCTGTGATATTTGTTTACCTCATCATTCATAACACTCCTAACAGAACTCTATTTTTATCTGTTAACAGAGATAATGTTTTTTGTCATATTGCACTAATTATCCAGTAATAAAAGGGTCCTCATTTTTCCATTAGTGGTAATATTTTCAAACTGAACCATCCATATTGTATTGTGTGGTTGCCCTGGTGACCAAAGTCATATCTTTGTGGGAAATAAAGTAGATAATCAGAAAACACAATTTTTATTTCCATACAAATGTACTGGCCAGATTAGGACTAAATAGCATGTTAGATCTTCACTATGGTATGCACGTGGGCATGGAAATGAGTGAATGGCAGAAAAGTAACCTTAACCTTTCATAATACAGTTATATTGCAAAGGCAATTGTTTACTACATCTAGTGTTTTCATTTTGCTGTTTAAAACATATCAACAAAATCTCTGCATGTTTATATATCTAATTAAATTGGTAATTAAAGTAGACATGTTATAAAATATTAAATATTCTCAATTTATATATTCCATTGATTATTTGTACTCACTCAGAGTTAAATCAGGTCTGACCAGTCTGCTGTGACTGATTCGGATGGGCAGTATCGGAATATTATTGCCAAGGCTTCTCCTGGGGTTCCTCATCCTGTTCCAAATCAGTCTCTTTATGTTAACAGCCGACAGGGACATCAGCTGTGCAACTAGGTTTTTCATGAGCCCATCTTGGCATCAAGATAGAGAATTGGAACATAAAAGAACCTTTAGAAATGTAGATACTTCAAAGGCAATAGAAAAACTGTAAACAAGTTTATATTTTCTGAATTCAAGGTATTTAAATACCAAGGAAAATACACCAAAATAGACATACAAATATTTATCATTTAGGTTGTGCATCAGGTTACTAGTTTAGTTATGATTTATTATTTTATTTTTATTTTTTCCCTGAGCTATTATAAGTTAACGTGTCTGTCTTAAATTTGAGGCTGTTTAGTAAAGTCTTTATACTTTGTCTTTTATTTATTAATGGGCTAGTGAAGTACGGTGGCCAATTGATCATGTAATAAATGTGTTTTTTTGGTAGTAAAATCTCTATACTATCTAAACAATATAAAATTAAATTTATCTTTTTAAAAATGTAAAAATATGCCTGGAAATGAAAATATACTGATTGGCATGTGGAATTCAAGATAATTTTCCTCTTGTGTGATTTAGCTTTTGGTTATGGTGTTTTGTTCACCAAATGCCAGTTTGTTTCTTAACTAGTCATTGTATTTCCCAAAGCTACAGTATATAGTTCACACAAACATTGAAAATTTGTGTTGTGTGTAGAACAGATCCACACTTGGAATAAGTTAGAAATGTATTATTATAAGTTAGCAGACATCACAATGTTAAAAACTGGTAAAATAGAAAAAAATAATGTGACTGTTTAGAAATCATTCAATCCTATACCTTACTTTAATTACCAATATATTAATGTGTCTTTTGAAATGTATTTAATATCTCACTTGCATGAATTATTTCAAATGTTGACAATAAGTTTTTTCTGTCACACCAAAACCTTATTATTTTATTTCATGTTCCCATGAATATCACAAAAAATAAAATATTAAGAGCATGAAAAAATGCTAAACCTAATTTTTTGTTAGATCAGGAATAAAAAAATTATCTTACATGTATCTTTTATCCAAATCTCTATTTTCAGGAAGTTAAATAGATGTTCTACGCTGAATGATTATATTTATTAGAATTTATTAAATTAAGCACTAGGTACAAATGCATAGTGATGACCTAGTTCTTCCAAGAGTAAATTAACTTTCCATAAGGATAATCACCCTTTGCTAAGGTATACAAATTATTTGTGAAAAGGTTTCTTATTGCATAATTGTATTGATTTTGTTGTTAACTGTTCCATTATGAAGTTCTTGCTTGTTAATTTTGTGAGGTACTAGAAGTTGAGGAAAGCAGACAAGTGATTTGCTGGAGTTCTTTTTTCATCATTACAGAATATTTTTTGTCTCTGTGTTGACATGTATGGCATGTCTTGCTGTTTGCTTTTAACATTTTTTCTTCTTTTTTTTGCTTTTTGGAATATGAGGTTTCCTTTTTTTTTAATTATTATTATACTTTAAGTTTTAGGGTACATGTACATAATGTGCAGGTTTGTTACATATGTATACATGTGCCATGTTGTTGTGCTGCACCCATTAACTCGTCATTTAGCATTAGGTATGTCTCCTAATGCTATCCCTCCCCCCTACCCCCACCCCACAACAGTCCCCAGATTGTGATGTTCCCCTTCCTGTGTCCATGTGTTCTCATTGTTCAATTCCCACCTATGAGTGAGAACATGCGGTGTTTGGTTTTTTGTCCTTGCGATAGTTTGCTGAGAATGATGGTTTCCAGCTTCATCCATGTCCCTACAAAGGACATGAACTCATCATTTTTTATGGCGGCATAGTATTCCATGGTGTATATGTGCCACATTTTGTTAATCCAGTCTATCATTGTTGGACATTTGGGTTGGTTCCAAGTCTTTGCTATTGTGAACAGTGCCACAATAAACATACGTGTGCATGTGTCTTTATAGCAGCATGATTTATAATCCTTTAGGTATATACCCAGTAATGGGATGGCTGGGTCAAATGGTATTTCTAGTTCTAGATCCCTGAGGAATCGCCACATTGACTTCCACAATGGTTGAACTAGTTTACAGTCCCACCAACAGTTACATTTTTTCTATGTTAATAAGTGTTATTATAATTTAGAAGCAAAATAGACTTTGATGTTTCAATGTTGAGGTAATAGAATTGGATAATCTGAATGAAAATGAGAACTCTCTTCCTGCAAGCCTCTTTCCATGAGACCCTACAAATAATGGAGCAAAGGAACAAAGATATCCTTGCAAATAGATGGGGAGATTTCTCCACATTCGGAATAATATTTATAGGTGTACTCCATTCATTGATGTGATAGTGCATAACAACAAAAAAGCATCTTGGAGCCTTAGCTATAGTGTGCATATCATTTAGAATCACATTTCATGCTTTTGAGAATAAAAGCAGGGGTTATTCATAATGACATGAAAACAACAGGAATAAATTACAACTGTCCAGGTGGTCCATATTGTCTTTTTTGAGTTAGACAACTAGGAAACACATGGATACATGGAAGCCTAGTGAGGAAATGCACAGACAACATTTTGAAACACAGAGTGAGTACTCAATGCCTTTGGAGTTGAGCACAAAAAATTAATTTGGGCTCACTAAATTTCTGGCTGTACCATTTACTAGATGTTCGACTTTGGCAAGTTATTTAACTTTTTTGAGTTTCAAACTATTCACTGAATAACCAGGATAAGTGTAGTATTATCTGCTAGTATTGTAGGGGTGGTTTCTTAAGATTTTACATATTGAGCCCTTAGAACAGTGCAAGGCATCAATGATGCAATCATAAAATACTTACTTCCACCAGTATGGCCTTTTTGTTGATATTATTATTATTGGTAGTAGTAGTAGTAGTAGCAGCATTGGTTACAGTTCTGCAATTACAGCTTTAGAATGAGAATCTAGGTTACTAACTGACCTCTCATCTAGTCTCTCTGCTTCCACTTCACAACCATTACTATACCACTATTATTCATTACGACTTCTCTTCACTACAGAAGAGGCAGAGTAATTCTTTTAAAACATTGCAATGCCTATTCATCACACTTGAGGTAAAATCCAAGTCTTTAGTCTTTATCTACAAGGGCTGTGTACAAAAACTAACCTTGGAAACCTAATTTCCTCTCCCTCTTGTCATTTCTCAACTCTGCACTTTAATACTCTGTTTTCCAGCAGTTTTTTAATATGCTATGTTCTCACGTCTTTCAGAATCTTTCCACTTGAGGGTGTGTCAAACAGGGACTTTCTTCATCAGATTCCCAAAATGTGTAGTACATTCAGGTCTCTGCTAATAGTCTCATCTGAGAAAGGACTCCCTAACCTCCTTATCTAAAATAACACTTCTGGCTATCTGTTTCTTTACCCTGCTTTATTTCTCTTTATAAACATGCCACTACCCATATTATGTGACTGTTTATTTTTGTCTCTACCATTAGAATGCAAATTTGAATATGTTGTCATGTTTCAGTGTTGTATCCCAGCACATAGAGCCATGCCTGACATATAGGAGCTACTTAAAATAAATATTTAGTGAATTCATGAAAGTAATGAATGAAATAATTGAATGTATGAATGTACTTAATAAAAGCTCTGTTTAAACAAATTAAGAGGATAGAAAATGCATTATTACCATTATTTCTATCTATAACTATATTTTTTCCTGGGAGAAAAAATATACACACACATACACATACACATACACATACATATATCTTGTACAACATCAATGAGCAGGATTTAGGGAAGTAGTTAAGCAGAAGTCAAGTCTATGGCTAAAGGTCATAAATTGAAGTTATAAATTGAATTACAATAAAAAAGCTTGATTTTACAAATTATCAACATCCTCAATTTTCATTTTGGATCCACCATTTATTTCCTTTTAGTACCCAGAGAAGTTTATTTCCTCTTTCTCTGTCTGTCTCTTCAACTCTAGAATGTTATCTCAGGACTTATGATCTCTCCTGCACTCTATGAATGGGTAGTATGGGTCCAAGCCAAGGTATATTAATGCTTCGAGCATACTGAAAATTTTACTGAAATTATATCCAAAACATTTGCTTCCCTGTAACCTAGTTGATAATTAATTCAAGGTATCAGTACCAATGGTAGTTGATAAGCCACAGCATTTATGAAATATCCAAGAGCAAAAGAAAGCCTTCCAAATAAGCTATTCAGTTGTATAAATATGTGTTTGTATATAGCATAAGATTGCATATCTATGTATATAATGTAAGATTACATATATGTTGGTATATAATGTTTAAAAAGAAGTTTAGTGGGGAAAATATTGTTGATTCATATAAAAACTTATTTCATCACCTGCGCAAAAAGTTTTTTAAATCCCCATTCCAAATTACTCATATTGAAAATTTGCTTTCTTATACATTGTTGGGCATCATGTTCAGAGAACTTGGAACATGGTAGATATACTAAATATCTGTTGTCTTTGCCAGCTAAATGAAAGTGGTGATTAGCTCTACAATAATTTTTAAAGTTTCAGTAAGCCCAGCAGGCAATTTAATAAGATGCAGTTGTTTTCTGCCAGATCTTCTATGTTGAAAATCAGGACTCTGCTCCCAAAGGAGAGAAAAAGGAATGAAATTTAGTTGATTTAAAAGACTGTGTACTGAAAATTGCTTTTTCTCTCACTGTCTATCTTGCAGACTTGATGAAAATAATTAAAATTAAAAAGTACAATATTGAAAATTAGCAGAATGAAGACACTTTTAAGACCAAGGCTCAGGAGGCTAATAAAAATATTTTTTCAATGGATCATGTTGTAGTCACTAGTTCGTACACTGCCCAGTTTAGGATTATTGAATGTTATCATCTGCTGTTTGTTTGACAATGTATAAAAAATAAAGTGTTCACTGCAGTATTACTTGAGCAAGCATTTGAAACCATTATATATATTTGTATTCTGGCTAGTGGACTCAGGAGAGACTTCATACTGAGTGGCATTTCTTTGAGAGAGCACTTGAGACATATCAATGTCATTGCTAGTGTTGACATCACTGTCCTGTTAGAGCAGCCACTGTCATCCAGAGGTGAACTGGCTATCTGGCCATCTGCTATCATAAGACATTTCCTGGCCTCCATTCCCTACAACACATGTATTCCCATATGTGCACTTGGAACCAGGTTCCTGGCATGCACAGAAGTTCAACCAGGATGTTTTTGTGTGTTTTTGGTAGGAAAAACAAATATGTCTCATCTCAATAGACAACTCCTAGTGATTGCTTGTGGTTGTTCAAAGTGCCATGTCCCAAATTCTAAGTCTGCATATAAGTTCACTAGAAAAGTATGTTAGGAACAATTTTTGATACCTTCTAGGGAGGGAATAGTAGTTAGTAATACAATAGCTTTATATTTGCCTTTTCTGGTATATATTAGCCCATCTTTGGTAATTTAGGAAATGGGAAACTTTTAACGTCCCATCCTCATATTTTTAGTGTAGATGTAAAAATAATGAGTCTTGGCATGCTTGAAATCTTACAGGTTATTTGTATGGTACAACAGAAAATTATGACCCACTGTTTACCTGAAATTTTTACCACAACACAGCAATTTTGCTTTTAATTATAAGTCGAATTAGATTTTCCAACTCCTTTTCCCTCATATTACATACATATATATACATATACACACACACACACATACATATATATGTATGTATTCCCCACAATATGACATATTGCTTTAATAGAACCATAAATTATTTCTGTTGGGTGTGCTAATCTCATTTCAATTTTTTTTTGTTTCAGTTGTATCTTGCCATCTTATATTCTCCTCACACATCTACCATTTTAAATCCATTTTGAACATAATTTTCTTTGATATGATTAACCATACTTTTATTAAACTATCTTTATGTCAGGAAGAATTTCCACAAAGCAATATAGCTGATTGAAAATTTCCAGATATCAGACCTACAGACTGATTGGATTTTTTTTCAATTAACAAACATTTATTGACTCCCTCATAAGAAAATTAGGCTTTTTACCAAGTTCCTGTGGTGTAAATATAAAAAAGACAAGGTATCTACAGTGTAAGGCATAAAGATATTAAACAATAACTTATAGTATAACAGAAAGAAGCACTAACTACTAAGTCTATCTGAAGGCATGAGGCAATGTTTCATTCTACAATGGAATTAAAATTTTTATCAGAAAGTTTGGAATACTGACTGAAAAATTTTAAATTAATGGCATAATGGACTTACATATTCAAGGAATCACTCAGTATTAGAGGCTGTATGCATAATAAATATATTATTGAGAATATGCTACTTCCTGATGTTTTACATGTTTAAGTGCACTATGGATCGTGTTAATAACATCACTAATTAAGTACATATCCTGGCATGAAAAAGGAACATATTAAGTGCTAATTAGTCAAGATGACTGTGTTTAGAAACCTATCCAAAATGAAGAACATTTAAATTGTAAAAGTAGGCTTTTTAAACAAACAACCCCATCAAAAATGGGCGAAGGACATGAACAGACACTTCTCAAAAGAAGACATTTATGCAGCCAAAAAACACATGAAAAAATGCTCACCATCACTGGCCATCAGAGAAATGCAAATCAAAACCACAATGAGATACCATCTCACACCAGTTAGAATGGCAATCATTAAAAAGTCAGGAAACAACAGGTGCTGGAGAGGATGTGGAGAAATAGGAACACTTTTACACTGTTGGTGGGACTGTAAACTAGTTCAACCATTGTGGAAGTCAGCGTGGCGATTCCTCAGGGATCTAGAACTAGAAATACCATTTGACCCAGCCATCCCATTACTGGGTATATACCCAAAGGACTATAAATCATGCTGCTATAAAGACACATGCACACGTATGTTTATTGCGGCACTATTCACAATAGCAAAGACTTGGAACCAACCCAAATGTCCAACAATGATAGACTGGATTAAGAAACTGTGGCACATATACACCATGGAATACTATGCAGCCATAAAAAATGATGAGTTCATGTCCTTTGTAGGGACATGGATGAAGCTGGAAACCATCATTCTCAGCAAACTATCGCAAGGACAAAAAACCAAACACCGCATGTTCTCACTCATAGGTGGGAATTGAACAATGAGAACACATGGACACAGGAAGGGGAACATCACACACAGGAGACTGTTGTGGGGTGGGAGGAGGGGGGAGGGATAGCATTGGGAGATATACCTAATGCTAAATGAGGAGTTAATGGGTGCAGCACACCAACATGCCACATGTATACATATGTAACTAACCTGCACATTGTGCACATGTACCCTAAAACTTAAAGTATAATAATAATAAAAAATAAAAGAAGTAGGCTTTTTATTTATTTATTCAATTTGATAATAAAGAAAGATAACATAACATTTTCCCATCTTGAGGGTAAAAGTGGTGGTATTATTTCCATCTGTCTATTTCCTCCCTATGCATTTCCTCTGAGCTTTGGGGTTAAATAAAGTTCTATCATTTGTCTTCCATGGAAACAAATAAGAGCAAATCCAGGCTTCTGGGGAATGCTCTGTCATTTTTACCAGGTCAGGGGAATGAGGCAGAACTTCATCTACCATGTTTTTGCCTCCCATTTCTTCCTATTCCACAAATAATTGGCTGACAAATATCACATAGTAGAGGCCTCTGGGAACTTGTTCTTTAGAACAGAAATGACAGCAAAGGCTGGAGAGCGCCTCCTGCCTACTCATGCATCCTGACTGTTCTGTGCTCTTTCTTCAAGGTAGCATATGGGAAAAAGCCTCAGTCTAACCAGAGTAGCCATCTAAGATGCCTGACATCTTTTCCACAGTTGTTCTTTTTTCTTCTCTGATGAGTTGTGAAACCGACAGTAACTTGGGTCAAACAAGGACTTTTACTTCTGGCTTCCTGCTCATTATATAAATTATAAAATTTAATAACCCCTGTAATAGTGGGCTTCAATACATGTATTTATTATACACATGTTTAAATCCTGAGGCAGTACTTTGGAATCCATAAACACATGGTGAATTTATACAGGTAGTGAGAGAGCTAAAGAAAGGAAATAAAATCTCTTGAGTTTTATGAGAGCACTCCTGTGGAAACTCTTCCACTGGCATTCAGACAGAAGATGTAAGGTTTGCCTTAGAAACTTTGGAACAATAAAGAGATTGTGCTAATATGCTTTGATAGCAGGAAAATGCCAGGGCTTGATAATATGCTTGACAAGTTGTGGATTTATAAACATTTAAAATAAATTTGTTTGTCTTTTCTGTTATAACCTTGGGAGTGCAGGAAAGAAAAATTGCATATACTGTTCAAATAAGCTTTTTGCAAAAATCTAAATCAAGTATTATTTCTTGGGTTGTATGATTTCAAGAACAATTATTTTTAGTCTTTTTTTTGAGTCATAAACAATTTCCATTATTTTTTCTAATTTTAAAATTACATGCTGGAGTAAGCCTTCATTGCAGAAAAATGAAGTAGAATAGCACCAATGGGTACAAGATTTGTTATCACTTGGCTTATTTTTCACTGACAAGATACATTATTATTAGACAGCAATACAGTATAGCCATTAATAGCTCTGACTTTAGGATCAGAGGAAATTAGATTCAAGTCTGATACTTCCTACTTATGATTACTCAGGACCCTCTACCCTTCATTTAATTTAACATAAAAATATATAAAAATGCTTATTTCACAGGGTTGTAGTGTGGAGTAAGTGTGAAACAACTATGAATTGCTCAGAACAGTGTTGGAATGTTACCAGTGTTACAAGCTTTTACCATTACATAACAACTGTAAGTCTTTCTTGCTGTAGAATAATAATGGTAATGTTATCTCTTGGAGGGAAGCTTAACATACAGCTACCCAAGTTGAAGTTGAGGAGCAGTTTACTGCCATGCAGTGCCATGTAAGACCATACTGGAGCCTGAGCAAAGTGAAAATTAAATGTATATGCGTGTGCGTGTGCGTGTGCGTGTGTGTGTGTGTGTGTGTTTATGCTGGTGTTTTAAAAAATATATTAACCCATTACAGGCTCACGCCTGTAATCCCAGCATTTTAGGAGGCTGAGGTGGGCAGATCACTTAAGGTCAGGAGTTTGAGACCAACCTGGCCAACATGGTGAAACCCCGTCTCTAGTAAAAATTCAAAAATTAGCTGGACGTCGTGGCACCCACCCATAATTCCAGCTACTCGGGAGGCTGAGGCAGGAGTATTTCTTGAATCCTGGAGGCAGAGGTTGCAGTGAGCCGAGATTTTGCCACTGCACTCCAGCCTGGGCAACATAGCAAGAATCCATCTAAAAAATAAAATAAATAAATATATTATATTAAAATGCGTTTTATCTTATTATTTATGAGATTTTTTTCATCCCAGTTATATGACTTTTAACAAAAAGACAAGTAACAATGGATGCTGGCAATGATGTAAAGGAAGGGAAGTATTCCTGTTCGCAGGAATGTAAAGTAGTACTGCTGCTATGGAAAGGAGTATGGAGGTTCCTCAAAAAAATAAAAATAGAATTACCATGTGATCCAGCAATCCAGAAGCTTGGTATATATCCAAAGAAAGGAAATCAGTATATTGAAAAGATACTTGCACCCCTATGCTTATTACAGCACTACTCACAAACAGCAAACATGTGGAGTCAACCTAAGTTTTCATCAAAAGATGAATAGATAAATAAATTATGGTATGTACACACAGTGGAATATGATTAACCCATAAAAAGAATGAACTCCTGTCATTTGCACTAACATGATGGAACTAGAAAACATTATGCTAAGTGAAATAAGCGAGACTCATGAAGACAAATAGCACATGGTTTCACTCATATGTGGGAGCTAAAAAAATTGACCTCATGGAGGCAGAGAGTAGAGTGGTGGTTACCAGAGGCTGAGAGGGAGAGCTATAAAAGCTTTGGTAAATAGGCACAGAAATACAGTTAAAAGGAATAGGACAGTGACACAGAAGGGCAATTGTGGTTGATAATAATTTATTGCATATTTCAAAATAACTAGCAGAGAAGATTTGAGATGTTACCAACACAAATAAATAATAAATGTTTTAGATGATGAATATCCCAATTACCCTTATTGATTGTTGCACATTGTATGCTTGCATTAAAATATCACATGGACCTCATAAATCTAAACAACTATTATGTATCCTTATAAATTAAAACATAAAAAGGTTATTAAAATGAGTGTCTCACTTGCTTAAGTTAACAGTGCCCCTGATCTCCTGTGCCCTTCTAAACCCCTGGGAGGGACTGTAGCAAAGTAATTGATGAATACTAAAAATTCAAAGCGTGTTTAAGATTAATCACCATACCAAAAGAAACAAACAGGCATAAAAAAAAATTCCTCCAAAATCTTAGAGTTCCTACAAAATGAAACTTGGTGGAGAATCTACCAAAAATGACAATGCTCACAATTTATAGTTGTGAAGCTAAGTACAATTCTGAGCTGTTGATAACAACAACAAAAAGATAATTCATAGTAGCCAGAAGACCGGATTACTTTTACATTCTCACTAGAGATATTAATATCACAAAATTGCAGTCTTGTGAAGAGGTAGTCAAAGATAATACTACCATAAATATAAGAAAAATGTGTTTTATATATCTGTGTCATGTGTGGTCCCTTATTTGTAAAAAATATTTTTTCTATATATTGTGATTTTCTTGGTATGTGCCAACTTTTAAAAACGTAGCTTGTCATGATTTGTTTTCTTATTTTAAATATTCACTTTTACTTCTAATTTTACATTTGTAATTTTTTTTTTATTAAAAAGGGTTAGAAAATTGTGTAAATGTTAGCCCCTACAACAATGGGACTCACTGTGCCTAACATCTTGAGGTTCTAATGTACATAGTTGGGTCAGGGTTTGACATAAGGTTGTGCTCAAAACACTATACTTAGGTATTTAACATTAGCTAGGATGCATAGTCTAGAACTGTGTTGTAAATATACACACAAACATGGAACTTGAAAATGCTGATATGGATTTCATTATGCACGGTTGCATTAGCATGAAAAAGACGTATGTGTCATTTTATTTCCTCAACTGGAAAGCATGGGCTAGTTACATTATATTTAATTGTTAAAAATTTTTTTTCTGGAAATAATCAAGACTGGGTAAGTAGAAGTGCAAAGAATTGATAGTCGTATTAAGAGGCAAAAGAGGTACTGTATCCATCATGTGTGTTTTGTATTATATGTTTCATTTTCCATGCAAGTATTTAGCTATTTCTCTTAAAATAGCTAAGATACATAAGCAAAATACCTTTAAAAGTTCTTTGAGGGTCATAAAATTCTTAAGATTTTCCTTTCTTTATTTTGAGTAATTTTTGCCATAATGGAATTAATATAATTCATTAATGGTGGTGGCTGGAAGAGAGTAATACTTGATAATATGTGGCTTTAAAGACAAATGTGGATTTTCCTAGGTCTTAAAATAGTGTAAGTTACTGATCCTCTGTAGATGTCAGATTTAGCAAACTATAGTTTCTTTAACTACGCATTGCTTTATGGTGCTCGTAGGAACTCTAAAACAAAGTTGAACATCACAAATCAGGATATTTAAGCAACATTTAACGTAAATGATAGTTTCCTTTAAAAATCTTGTAATAAAAAGCTTATAAAGTCAATAAGGCAGAATTTAAAATTTATTTATTATCTTGAAAGCTTTTAAATATGATTAAACCAGGCAGGGCCAACTTTGATCAACATGATTTCTGTCAACTTTGAGAACAACTTTAAAAGAAAAGATTCAAATAAAATAAAAGAATGCAATATTCTTGCATCCTACAAGACTAAATGAGATCATCAATATGGAGTGATGCTGGCAGCAAAAGGAATGTCAATGTACTCTAAAAAACGAAACTTTCTTTATCCTGATGAGTGATTCATTTCATGTAGAACATAGCGACTGGAAGAAGTATCTCGATGGAGCCCAAAAAGCTGAGTTACAGAGACTGAAAGCAAAGGTAGTTACACATCTCCATTGGATTGTTACACATCTCATTCCATCAGATGGGTGTGGTAAGTTTCCCTGTCCTACTAAGATTACTTTCCTTGTCATTGTTGGAATGGTTTCTATGGGAAAGATAACAAAACTTTCACATATATCACATAATAATACACTTTGATAATGATTTCTTGACCATTGCTTGATTTTTTTTTTCCAGAAACTTATTTTGACAGCAGTTGATACTACTTTAATCAAGTAATGCTTTAGTTATAAGGCTAAATGATATGTATTTTTATTACAAAGGAATAAACTACAAGAAAGAGAAAAAGCATTTTAGAATAATTATGTGACTACACTTCTTCTTCACAGAGAAGGAAGTAATGAAGATAATCTAGTCATGATCTACATGATCTACTCACAAGTGCTTAAAAATGTATTGAACTTACCACTTTCCAAAGGCACATACAAGACATAAAACAAAAAGAAGTGATTCCCAGTCTTTGGAGTAATGGCTTAATGTAATTTTTTAATAATGTATAGGCTGAGATAGTCTCCTTTTATTACATATTATTGAATGCCACACTAACAGTAAAAATTACAGAGAAACATTCGTGAAAATAATAATTTTAAAGAATCTTTATTCATACACCTTCCTAATGAATGCAATATTGACATTAACCCTTGATAATAAGATATCAATAAGAAAAGTTGTCAAAATCATAAACATTAGTAATATCTAGAAGGTTTTTAAAACTAGAGAAAATTAGAAAAAATAAGCTCTGTTTTTTAAAACAAATAATGTAAAATGAAAGTCAACTATTATTTGTAAAAACAGAAAAAGTAATTTCAGTTTTTAAAATTTAAACCAATTGAAAATGATTAAATATGAACATTGTGAATTAAAGACCCCAAATATGAGCAAGAGATATTAGATACACTAATTAAATATTATTTGCATATAATATTTGCAGAGTTGGTATTTCCTTATTCTATCAGTTACCATGAATGTTTAAAATGTAATATGGGACCTGCATGTCCAAAATGAGGTATATCTAATCAAGTCTTCAGCAAATATTTATGTATTAACTGTAGGCACATAATTATCCCTAGATGCTGTTCTGAAATAATTTATATTCTAGGTCAGGTGCAGTGGCTCATACCTGTAATTCCAGCAGTTTGGGAAGCTAAGACAGGAGAATTTCTTGAGCCCCAGAGTTCAAGTTTACAGTGAACTATGATCACCCCACAGCTCTTCAGTCTGCACAACAAAATGACGCCCTGTCTCTAAAATAAATAAATAAAAATAAAACATGTAAAAAGAATTTATATTCTATTATAAGAAAAATCGGTGCCTCATTTATTCTGGCTGTATAACAGATCATCTAAAAAATTAGTGGCTTAAAGCAACAATCAAATTGTATTATATCTCATATTCTGTGTGTTTTCATGACTAGAAGTTCTTTCATAGGGTCTCTAATTCCATTTCAGTCAGATAGTAGATGGAACAAAAACACTCGGGGAGGGGGTTAGAATAACGGAAAGAGATATCCAGGCATATCATTGTCTTCATGTAATCTCAGAAACTCTTCATTTATTCTGTCGGCCTGGCATAATTTGGACTTCCTCACAGCATGGCAGTAGTCAGACTGCTTATATGGCAGTTCAGGATTCTAAGTGAGCATTTCAAGAGAACCAGATGGAAGATATATGGCCTTTACCAGCTACTTTCAGAAATTACAGTCACTTCCTCTGGATTCAGAATAACAAACCAGCATAGATTCAAGGAAAGAGGTTATACACTCTGCCTCTTAATAAGAAAAGTGACAGAAAAAAAGTATGTTGAAAGAAGAACATTTGTGAGGGGGACTACGGATGTGGCCATCTAGTCTGGAAAGCACGATTTGCCACAATTTGCAATCATTAAGTAATTTTACTGAATATGCCCTAATAATTACTCAATCATTTTATTCTCTTCTTAAGTAAAGGTCTTTAGGCCTTTTCCTTAAAAATTTTTAAATCTAAATGAACACTTGTCACATGAACATTCTAAACTATATGTTAATCAATGAATTGTGATAAATAGGTAGTTTAAACAAAAATAATCTAAACTACATGGATAGATAGACAGAGGAGAGGAAAAAAAAGATGAGATGTGAATTATGGATTTTAATACTCCAAACTTTAGGGTTGTTACTAAGTACTAAGCTTTATGCTAAGATCAGGGAGGTTATAAAGAAGAATTAAACATTGTCCCTTCCCTAATACTGCCCTCTGAGGTATTTAGGCACATAAGTAATTAATTATGATTCAAGACAGAATGAAATATAGGCTTTTAGCATATGTGTAAATATAAGGGGGACTGTAATATTAATAAGATATAGCTACAGCTATTAAAATGAAAATAACTTTCAGATGTTAATGTCAGCACATATTGTAATTCTCTTAGTAAATTTAGCATTGACATGTATGAAAAGAAATAATGAACATGTTTTATGAGAACACATTGTATAGATGATATACATGGGTCTCATAGTAACCCCCAAAATACAGTGTATAATTCTTTGTAAGATTATTTTAATGCAAATGACTTGATTGAAATTACTGTGAATTTCTCATCATAGAACTATCTCACTTACAATTTTACTAATAGAATCATCTCAGTGGCAAAGATCCAGGCAGCAATGTTGAGGTGATGGGCGAGGTCACAGGAATTCTCTTTCATTTTTTGATGAACAAGAATTCATTTCAGCTTCTACGGCATTGAAACAATTGATAGAGATGAGTAAGAATGTGGGTTTTAGAGACAGGCTGACTGATTATCTTGCTCTACCTTTTAGTAGTTGTGTGATAATAGAAAATTAACTTAGAATAATTCAACCTTAATTTCCTCATTTCTAAAATAACATATATTTATTTTTAAGGATTCATGGCAAGTTTTCTATACAAGACAGCTCTGCTATTATTATTACAGCTTCTAAGACTATTATTCAAATGTAGTATGGCATGCACATTTTCACAAAGAAAGTATGACAATACATTCTAAGACTGATTTTACTGAAAATTTCTCTTAATGTATTTTACATATATAATGTTAGATTAAATATTATTTCTTGTGCATTAAATATTATTTTAATGAGTAAACCACAACAAAACTTGGTCCTGGTTGAAAGACTGGCATAAATTATAACTAAGGTTTAGGTTGCCTGCCTTTCAATTAAATACAGAACATCCTACAATTTATTCAAAAATATATGAAAGGGTACACTTATCTTTCTTAAGATAAAAGTAAATATGTAAGTTTTTCTGGAGTGGGCACTGAAGTTCATGAAGTAAGAGGAGGGACCTGTAAGGTCAATGTAGCTCAAAACTGTTGTATTTCATACCATTAGATAGTGACTTGGGTAGGGACATCATTACTTAAGAATTCATCCTGTAACTATATAAAAAATATTTGTGGACCACAGTTGCATATTTATAATTCAATTTATTTTTGTAGCATTGGGCCTACAGCAGGTCTGCTAAAGTCTACTCTATTGTGAAACATTCAAATTTATTTAACATTAATTTTGGAACTAATAAAAGTGAATTCCTTTAGCTTTTGTTTATTCTTCTGAAAATGAACAGATTATTGTGTTGAAACACTCCCCTTTACTTTTCTGCCCACACAAATCAAAGGGCATGAAAAATATCTTAGTTTCTCATTTTCCTTTGGAAAAGGCATCATGGCAACAAGCATGGCTGGTTTGACATTGTGATTTATGTTGGCTTTCTTGTGCTATGAAATAGTCGTTTCCTAAATAACTAATAAAGTGCCTTGAAATGCTTCTAACTTTGTAACTGTGTCTTTCTTCCTCACTCAGCATTTGTAGACTCTCAAATAATCTACTAGATTTTAGTTATATCCATTACCAATTTTCTGCATATACTGAAAAGTCATGAGCTTCTTAAGAGACAGATCTGAGCTTAAACCCTGGCTCTTGCATCCATTTATTTAATACTACATAAATATATAGTCAACATCTCCAATATGTCAGGCACTTTCATAGGTACCTGGAATATAATGTTGAGAATTACATAGTATCTGATCTCTAGGAGCTTATAATTTATGGAGGAGACATGTAAATATTTGCAATGTATGGTTGACTCTTAACAACACAGGGGTTAGAGGTGCCAACACCTACACCACCAAAAATCTGCATAAAACTTTTGACTTTCCCCAAACTTAATTACTAATAGCCTACTGTTGATCAGAAGACATACTGATAAAATAACAGTTGATTAACATACATACTTTGCATGTTATATGTATTATAGAGTGTATTTTTCCAATAAAGCAAGCTAGAGAAAAGAAAATGTTATTAAGAAAATAATAAGGGAGAAAAAATACATTTAGAGTAGTGTACTGTGTTTATCATCTGTTTGCAAGATGAATCATCTGTCTGAAATGATGGTCCACCTCAGCTGCAGACCTCAATCTATATAGCATATATTAAGCAATTCCACTTTTTCTTGTAATGGCATGACTTTGTTGCCTGGGAGTACTGTCGGCATCACTAGTGCCACTTTGTATGGGTCCCATGGTGTTATTCACGGTTTGGGTATTGCATTAAACATGACAAAAATACATGAGAACCTGAAGAGATTACTTTTTACTGTGATATGCAATTTACTGGAGAGATGAACTGCTGATGCAGAGATGATCCACCTCACATTGTGTTTTAAGAGGATACTCACAACACTTGAGCTCACCGCAATAGCAACAGGAGCTGGCTATGAAATTATGACTGTAGAACAGTATATAATGCAGTAAATGTTATGCAGTTACAATACTACATTTTTACATTTGTTTACATTTCTCTTAACTGTGAATGGTGCCATGTACGGTCTTTGTGTGCCCAAATTTTGATAAATTTTAAGTTTTTATAATAGATATATGTACATTTCATGGTAGTAAATAATAAAATAGACTAGTAGCTACATATATTTTATGTATTCATGCCATACTTTTTTCTTAATTTTTTCAATATTTTAGGTGACACAGTTTGTGAGTTTTTTCAACTTGTCACAAATATAAAAAAAAAAACCAACATATTTATTGAACAAAAATCCACATATAAGTGGACCTGCACAGTCCAAACCCTTATTGTCCAAGGGTCAACTTTAGTGAGGTACGTTAAAATAAAGGTGATCATTGGTGCTCCTGGTGCAGAAGAGGGGCATTTGACTAGATTTGGGTGACAAAGACACTATCACAATGTTAACTATTTAACTGAAAAGTATAAGATTCAAGGGAATAAACAAGATTTCCAATGTCTGGGAGGTGGTATGAAGGTCAAGAAATAAAATAGCCTCACATCAGATGGAAACAGGATGAAAGACTCAGAAGCACAAACATATTTGGCCATTTATGCCTAGTGTTCCATGATTGGAACGCTAAGCATGTGGGAATTATTTATATCCTACTGCTCAAGGTCAACACAAAGGTCTGATTGCAAAAATTCAAAAAATTGCAACCTCAGGCATTAATGTGTTAATGGGGAACTGTAATCATGTCTTATAGCTGATATATAGGATATAAATGGAACAACAGAAAGACCTTATTCTGATGAAGAAAGTGTTGACCAGATCAGAAAAGACCCTTTATGTTACAATAAGGACTTGTCATTTATTTATTAGCTACAAGGAATTGCAAGATATTTAGCTTCTCTGAACTCAGCTTTCTGTTCTGTAAAATGTGGTATAATGACCACATTGAAGGGTTATTATAAAGACTAAATAGAAATCATACACAAATATTTTTGCCATACTTTTTTATTAATTTTTACCTGTTAGATACACGTTTAATTTTTTTCTGTGTTGTCATTTCTGTACTTTCTTAACAAATGAAACTTTTTAAAATGAATTTAAATAAACATGTATGTATCCATTATTTGCTCTGTGCCAGTCATTATGCCAGATTCTGGAATATAGTGCAAGGGAAACCTAGTCTCTGATGTCATTAACTGTATGGTCCCGTTAAGAAGATCAACATTGTAAAACAAATGGAGGAATAAAGGACAAATTACACAATGTTATGGTGACACATAAATTTGCTTATAATATAAAGTTTAATTTGTCAGGAGCTTATGATATTTGAGATTTTAGGAACATCTATGAATTAGCTGGCATAATATATGTGTGGGAGGTAGACTGGGAATTAAAATCATTTTTTTCAGCAGAAATATTAGCATATGAACAGGACATAAGTCTGGAGTGATTGTGACATGCTTTATTAATTAAATAGTGTTCAGAATCACTAAAATGTAGGTAGACAAGAGGAGAGTGGAATAAAATAAATTTTGAAAAGAAGTATGAGGCCAGATAAAACTAGATATTGAAATTATGTAAAGATCTGTGGACATTAAACAAATTTCAGAAAACAGTAATGGATTCTAAATGAGATGTGACTTAATCAGAAATCTTTTTCACATGTCATTCTGATAATGATGTGCAGAATAGATTGAAGAGAAACAGTGGTAGAAAAGAAGGGTTAAGAGACGATTGCTGTAGTCTTGAAGAACAATGATTGTGGTACACAGAGGTTGGAGAATAAATAAGGAATAGAGCTGAGAAATGTTTATGAGGTATGATTAACTGTATTGGTATGTGTTTGATTGGAAAAGAGATAAGAGAATATTAGGAATGAAAGTGATCCCCCACCCCGCAAACACAAAAAAAGAGCTGCTCTCAGATTTTTGACTCCAGCAACTGCATAGATGGGGGTATCTTTTGCAGAGAGGGAGAATGCTAGACCACAAGTACACTGTAGTGAATAGTGGAAGGTTTCAAGGGAATTGCAAATCTGTTTTGAGTTTCTGGTATAACCACATGGAGACATCTACTAAGCAGATGGTATGTGAGAACGGAGATCTGCACTGGAGGTGAAAACTTGGGCATCATCTGCTCCATGGGAAACCTCAGTTATCTGAGTGCATAAAAGTCTAGGGAGAAAGACAAGGTTGAATGTATTGAGAAAAGTGCCTAGGACAAAATCTAAATGTTTTAAAAATTTGAGAAAAGATAGAAAAGGGGAACCACCAAAAGACTAAGAAGGAAGAGCCACAGGCATAGGAGAAAACAGGAGAGCATGGTGTTCGGCAATCCAGGAAAATAAACTCTAGGTTGTTGGAGGTTCTGAAAAGTTTTAAAAAGCCAAAGGCAAAGAAAGGGAAGATTGGAAATTGAAGCATCTATGACAATCAGTGAAATGTTTTAGGTAGGTGTTAGAATCCACATTTAAGTGTCAAAACAGTAAGTGCAAAGTGAGGATAGTGTTCTTGGAAGAAGTTTGATATCTAAGAGTTTGCTATTTAAAGAGAGGAAGCACTTTGGGAGGCTGAGATGGGTGGAACACCTGAGGTTAGGAGTTCGAGACCAGCCTGGCCAATATGGTGAAACTCCATCTCTACGAAAAATAATAATATTTTAAAAAGGCTGGGTGTGGTGGCTCACACCTGTTATCCCAGCACTTTGGGAGGCCGAGGCAGGCGGATCATGAGGTCAAGAGATCGACATCATCCTGGCCAACATGGTGAAACCCTGTCTCTACTAAAAATATAAAAATTACCTGGGCATGGTGGTGGGACCCTGTAGTCCCAGCTACTCGGGAAGCTGAGGCAGGAGAATCACTTGAACCGGGGAGGCGGAAGTTGCAGTGAGCTGAGATCGCGCCACTGCACTCCAACCTGGCGACAGAGTGAAACTCCGTCTCAAAAAACAAAACAAAACAGAACAAACCAACAAACAAAAAATTAGTTGGGTGTGGTGGCACGCACTTGTAATCCCAGCTACTTGGGAGGCTGAGGCAGGAGAATCGCTTGAACCCAGGAGGCAGAGGTTGCAATGAGCCGAGATCCTGCCATTGCACTTCAGCCTGAGTGTCAGAGCGAGACTGTCTCAAAAAAAAAAAAAAAAAGGAAGAGGAAGAGAAGAAGGTGGCAACTGGAAGGAACCAACAATTTTGTGTTTGTTTACTTTTTGTTTTTTTAAGCTGGTATTGGGAGAGTTTTTGAATATCTGAAATAGAAACTTATTCTTCTTGATACTTGGGATTGTTTTATAAAAATGTTTTATAACTGATATTCTCATATTTTCATCATTTATGTTACTTTATTACTTAGCTTAATATGTTGATTAATTAAGAATTATGGAGATGCACTTATTCTTTGGAGAAGGACTTACAGTTAAGATTTCTTAGAAATTATAATTTATTGATGTATATTTATAAATGAGAGACAGGATTTAAGATGAAGTTTTAAAAAATGAAAAATAAACTTTAGAAGAGTTTTAAAACTGCCGTTTAGGGAATAACTGATTGCATTCATGTTGTTAAACTCATAATTATTCAGTTTAGTTACATTTACTGAGATGATTCTAAGAGCACAAATAGATTATTAAAATATAGTTATTTAGCTATAACTGGCCAGGTGCGGTGGCTCACGCCTGTAATCCCAGCAGTTTGGGAGGCGGAGGCGGGTGGATCACAAGGTCAGGAGATCGAGACCATCCTGGCCAACATGGTGAAACCCCGTCTCTACTAAAATACAAAAAAATTGCGGGGCGTCGTGGCGCATGGCTGTAATCCCAGCGACTCAGGAGGCTGAGGCAGGGGAATCGCTTGTACTAGGGAGGCAGAGGTTGCAGTGAGCCAAGACCTTGCCACTGTACTCCAGTCTGGTGACAGAGCACAAATACATCTCAAAAAATAAAAATAAAATAAAAAAAATTATTTAGCTATAACTGAATTAGCGATGGTTGTACTGTTTCATAAAAATTTACAGCCTAACAAAAGTTGAAAGAGAATGGCCCAGTTCAAAGATCTCAAAACTAGAATTTTTCATGAAATTAACTATATCAAACACCGCATCAGTGCTTGGGCCCTGGAGAATCTATATGTGTTTTTTATCCTCCATAAATTTTTCTCAGGAAAAATATTTTATTTGCTTATGTGAACATGCTGTTAGAAGCAAATCATTAAAGAAAATGTTCACATTTGTTTATGTTGTCAAGATGACATTGCACTTGTCATATATATATTTACATATATATATATACACATAATATTGAGTAGTCCCAATGTATTTCTGAAACTCTACTTGTTAAAAATATGAAATAACTATGAGTAAAAATGTTGTAGTCTTCAAACTTACGACTATAGATGCATAATGGATTACTCCACTTATGAATTTCTACAGATACTTTTTGCTCTTCTACTCCTTGTTGACTTATCCTCCAAAGTCACAGTATTATGAAGAATAATACTATTTTTATATTACCATTATGTTTAAAAGAATTCTTAAGGTAGAAGTTCATCCATAGCTTACTTTAATCAAACCTATTTTCTCAAAAATTAGCCTATGTTTTGAAAAGAAAACCATATTTGATTCAGAATTCAGCTAAGTTGGAAATTTAAATTTTAGTTTTTTTATTGCAATTATTTTTTTTCTATCAGGAGAAAAATAAAATTAGCTCTCATATTTTCAAATAGGGTCCTTTGTTAATAGAGTTTAGCAGAACACATTCATTGTACACTCTAGGGGTTGACACTTGTTTTAAAATGAAATACAGAGTGAAAATGTTAGAATCAATGCAAAAGATTTGGGGTACCATCAAGGTATTAAAGTATATTATTTTTTTGTGACATATTTTATTATATGAATCATGAAATCTGTGTTTTTTTCCCAATTTGTTGATGTTACGTCTAGAAAGATGTACAATATCCATATTTGGTACATTAGTAGGCAAACCAGGAAGACATAATATTGCAAGAGGCACTCACTCCTTAATAGAACTCTAGGCCAGGATATTCCACGCATCCTACTCCTGTAATAAGGAAAATTCCAGGTCACATAGCAAACTGTAATGGTAGGTGGAATTGTTCTTTGGTATATGAGGTGAAAAATAAACAATAATAAAAACAATACTTCTGAGATAAGAATGAGAATCCGAAACTTATTATGCCTGAACATTGCACACAGACCCACTTATCATAAGATGCCCCAAGGGTGACGATGAAGATAATCCAGTACTCTGTTTATTATTTATTTTTGAAAATTGACTACAGTATCCTGAGCATTCATTTTTGGGGGGAGCATCTTGAGGCTATTTAAAAGCACACATTGAGAAACATTGAACAAAAGTATCACTTTTCAGAAGAAAATATATTAAATGTTTGATCAAATTGAAACTGAGAGAAGCATCTCCTCTGAATGTTTAAGTTGTTTCCCCCAAAATGTACTTTTAAGTCTTAAAACTACTAACGGCTAGCGTAACACATTCTAATAGCAAAGGTGACTGAAAAATTATCTATGTTTGTTTCAATTACTCAAAAGTATTAAAGTGGGAAAATTCTGGCTTGAGCAAACTGACAATATAGTCAACTTCCTTGTCCAACAAAGTTTTTTTTTGTTCTTTGTCTCTTTCAATGATCCAGATTTATTCTGAGGAATATCCACTCTTTTACATGCTTTGTTCATGCCTGTCTTATTATTGTGTTACCAATCCCTACAGCTTTGCCTGGCACATTGTTGGCACTCAATATTGAATAAATAAACATGCAGCATTTCAGATAGTGTTTCTATGGATTGAGATAAGATGAGGTTTCTGAAAAGGAGATAATAATACAATGTATACATAGTGTGTAATAAGCATTCCTCTATGCAGGAGACTGGATTCTCATTATATTTTTATTGAAATATATTTGCCAAACTTGTAATTTCTTACTATGTTGGCATTTAACATAAAAATGCTAAAAATTGAAGCATTTAAACGGTCTCATTTTTTGCCGGAATGTCTTTTTTGAACTTCCCCAGAATTAAGTTTCATTTATACTGTCAGAATTGTGTAGGAATTACAGAGGAAATCAGTGATCCTAATAGATTGAGTTTTATATTTCCTTTATTTAATCTATAAATTTAAGTAAACCCAAAATCTAGGAAGATATTACTAACAGAGAAAGTTGATACAATCTAAGGGCTGGATTAAGATTGTACGAATCAATGGCAATTTTAGAATCCAACAGCTTTCCTAACATGATAGAGCAAGATACCCTATGGTTAAGTAATTTACAAATAATATTCATACCTTAAAAATTTGCAAAGAGTATCCCTCAGTGTAATTTATACTCTCTTACTATGGCCACACAGGTCAGATTTTATTGTCAAGATCAGGACGAAAAATACTGTTTCTCAGGTTGTCAGCATTAGGGTAGCGTCTTAATACAATCTGTGTTGGTTTTTTTTTTTTTCTTTTCCCAGCCACTTAAATTCTCTCTAGAGCTAAATCAGCCTAAAAATGAACTTGAGCTTAGTTAAAGATATAATGTGTCTTGGAAGGTATCCCTGCTTCTATATTTCTACCTGTTTCCATTAACTGCAGAATTATCCTGTCATAGCATTTTGAGTCTGGAGTAGAACTTGACCTTGTTCCAAAATATGTGACATGGTTATCTGTTGCTATGGAAATTATGAAACTCCTTTAAATGAAGCTATAAAGCTGTTACAAATTCCTTCACTCCAGCAGAACATGGATTTGAAGGAAGAAAATTTTATACATTTTGGAACTAGCTGAATAATTGCCAAGAAATAAATCAGCTGTCCATTATTCTTTAGGATCCAGATTTTGATGGTGGCTCTAAAAGGTGGCAGTAGGAGCTAAAAGATGAGACTGCCTGGGTTATTGCCTTACTTGATAGAGGGCAAGTGAATAAAATGACTGCATCTACTCAACACCTCTTCGCTGATTTCAATCTGCTCTACCATGCAAAGAAGCAGCTTGCTGGGCTCAGCAGTAACTCAGACTCTGTATTCCCTCTCTATGTGGGCTTGATTTGGAAATGTCTAACACATGTGCTCTCTGATTTTGCATAAATGCCAGTTTTCCCTCAACAACCTTGTCTAAGGCTGCTTTTGGAGGAGAATGCAAAAGACAAAGAATGACAGACAGAATAAATTATTTTTAAAATTTGCTTCAAAATTTGTTCCTTGAATGGCCTAAAATAGTGATTACTGAGTTAAAGAGAAACCAGTATAAATATAAAAAGTAATATAATATCAGTCTCGGTTACAGCAGACATCAGTGATTTGTCTCATTTTATCTAAAGATAATATTTAGATAAATGCATCTAATGTTGTGTCTGGTATAAGAAGGTGCTCGGCTAATATTTGTTGAAACTGGGAACGCCAAAGAACTATAAAATTTATATAAATTTTAAAATTTTAATGTTGTAATTAGAAATAACTGAGGCCATTTCAGCAAAATATTAGGCTGATAATTTTTCCACAGGCTGTCAATGTAGAAAAGTGATGAAGATAATTTTAAATCTATACTCATTCTATAATTTACAGCCTAAAAATAAAAGCTTTATGTGATCAAAATAATTCAGTCATTACCTATTAAATAGCTTTGTTTTTGTTTACATGTGAATTTTTATACTATTATAAGTATATGCATACTTTATCCATATTTATATATAAATATTATCAATATATTATATACTTATAAATATATATATAAATAAGTAAACCTTGTATGTAGTAATAGTTTTAGACTCAAGAAATCTAAGAGGCTAGCTTGGTAATCTTCTCTGGAATTTTCTATTAAAGACAGACAACATAAGGCTGGCTTGACCTTTTATTTTACTCACTAAAGAGAAAAAAAAAGTTCCCAAGTTCCTAGCAAGTTATACAAAAAGTACAATGTATAGTAGCCACTATCCTACAGTTTGTGTTGTACCTCTGTTGCATGTAGCTTAAGGTTATACTGAGATTCTTTTAATACTTATTTTGGTTTATTTTTGGAAATATTTTTCACAACTATTCCAGTTCCAAATATGTCAACTAAGTGATCAAAGTGCTTGTAGTTTGATGGGGCTCATATTATTCTTTTTTCTCTGATACAATTATGTATAATTTTACATATAAAATGTTCTATACGATTTTTAAACCTATTGAAAGTATGTTTGATTGTTCAGAATTTTCAACAACTTTACTAAATTACTATTTCTACACATTTAGATATAATTTGCTGTCTAACTGAATATGCTAAATACTTTAGGAAATAATTCAGCATAGCAGACAGAATTCTAAGATGGTCCCTTTATCTGGGCCACTAGCATTATGTCTTGTATAAATCCTTTCCCTCTGAGTGCAGGAGGAAATCATAACTTGCTTATAACCAATAGACTAAGGCAAAGGTGATAGGATATCAGTCCTGCGATTACGTTGCAATACAGATGTAAGATTTTATCTTGCTAGTATACATAGCTTCTCCTGGTGGCCTTGAAAAAGCAATCAGCCATGTTTTAAACTGCTTATTAAGAGGTCATGTGGCATAAGGAACTAAGAGGAGCCGCTAATGCCTGAAGCAAGCTTCAGCCAAGAGTCCTTAAGCCTGGCGTGGTGGCTCAGGCCAGGCGAGGCGGCTCAGACCTGTAATCCCAGAATTCTTTGAGGCCAAGGCGGGTGGATCACGAGGTGAGGAGTTCAAGACCTTCCTGGCCAACATGGTGAAACCTCGTCTGTACTAAAAATACAAAAAAATTAGCCAGGTATAGTGGCGGGTGCCTGTAATCCCAGCTACTCAGGAGGCTGAGGCAGGAGAATTGCTCGAACCCGGGAGGCAAAAGTTGCAATGAGCCGAGATCACACCACTGCACTCCAGCCTGGGTGACAGAGCAAGACTCCGTCTCAGAAAAAAAAAAAAAATCAAGCCAGAACCTTCAGTCATATAGTCATAACCAAATGATTTTTTTTTCCAAACAACCTGAATTCTTCCCCAGCTGAGCCTTGAGAAGAGAACTCAGACCAGCCAATACCTTGATTAGAGCCTGTGAGACCCTGATCTGGACCTCTGACTCACACTGAAATAATAAATGTGTGTTGCTTCAAGCTACTAAAATTGGGATAATTTGTTATACAACAATACAATACTAATACATCCAGCATATAAAAACTGGAATTGTGAAGAGGTAGCGTATGTAATTCTTTTTTTCTGTTTAAACCAATTAAACTATTTTGTAAAGTCTAAATTCTTCTCCTTAGGAAAATACCAGAAGTATTCCTAAGGAAAGTATAAGATAGCTCTAAATAATAAATCTGTTAAATTAAAAAAGTATTTTACAAATATTATCTGCACTTCTCTTTAGTTTTATTTTCCAGGTTTCAAATAATTTTAGATTATATGAAATATTCAAATAATTTGACTTTATAATACCTAATCTCACTCAAGCATAAAAATAGTCCCTATTTGAAAGCCCAACAGAAATGCTTAGAAATAAGTTTCTTGCTCTAAATTTAATACTCTTTAAGAATTATATTTTAAAAGATGATGTGAACAGTTCAACATCTTTACATATTTTACTAAATCACATTGTATATTTATTATACACCTATAATTTTATGAAATTAGTTATTTCTTGGAGCATTGCCCTTAAGCTACTGTATTATATCCCAAATTGCTTTTCTCAAATAACAGTCTGCCTGTTGGAAACTCAGCAGAGACAAGTATTAAATAAAGATTATACTGTTCCTTATCCCTCAAGTTGTCACTATAAAACAGGTAAGTGCTAGGGTTAAAAAAAGTGAAAGTAGATATTGCTGGCAAGAAACTAAATTAACTATGTCTACCTTGAATTCTGACAATAAAAGGGTGTCAGAATAAAAAACAAAGCTATGCAACATGAAATCATGACAAAGACTTATTGGTGTGAATACAGATGACCCTCCAGTTGCCAAGTCCCTGGTTAAGGTCTTTTTGTGATTATAACCAACAGCTTTGAATCTCAACTCTAAATGACTGCTGACAATAAGTCGTCTAGAATGACTCGATCCCAGGCAATTTGGTGAGACACTGCTTGTAATGAGCAAGGCTATTTTGATAATACTGCAGAGGCCTTCATTCAGTAAAACTTTAACCTGGGTTTTAAAAAAATGCCTTCTCTACCTCTCTTTACTTTGCAGTTCCTATTGACTCCAGGACTCAGCCCTCATCCTGAGGATAGACAAAATCCTCTTATGTCTTCCTTTCTCAAAGACATATATTTGAGAATAATATATGAGTTAGTATTGGTTTGCTATATTTAACCCGATACTTTGAAATGTTCCCTACCAAAACACTGGAAATATTATAAGAAATATTATATTTAGTTAATATATACATTTGCCAGAGTAAGTCAATGGCATAAACAGTATTTTAATTCTCTTGCTGGTGAGAGAACTAGCTTTGCACTGTAGCAAACTCTGTATATATATATATATATATATAATCTACTATGAAAACAAGTCAAGATTCCAAAAAAATTAAATACAGAAAAAGAAAGTTTGTATCTTTGACTAGATATTTGCTTTTCATTGTTCATTAAATACCAGTGCACAGATGAACTGGCATGAACACAAATGTTTATGGTAATCTTCACAGCTGTGTGTAGGATGTAGCTAATTTTTGGCATACAGTAGAGCATTATGTGTTTCTATATCATTGCTTTGTGGAATGTAAAAAATACTTTTTTATGAAAAATACTCACAAAATTCTAATACAATTAGATGAAGATTTAGAATAAAACACAGAATATATATTTGTGAACCAACATGAAGAAGCAAAAATCTGCTAAACATATTCATTTTCTTTTTTTTTGGAAGGGGAGGTGAATGACAAGAAGATGGTGCAAAAAGGAATTTAAGAAATAAAAATCCATGAAAACAGACATAAGGGAAAGATTCAGCATGGTCTCTACAATAATCATCACTTTATATTCATCATGGCATTGCCAGTATTTATGAATATGGACATGTTTGAATGCAGTTATTAACAGGGAATGTATACTATTTGTCTTCAACTTTAAAATTTTGACAGCTGGCAGGCGCGGTGGCTCACGCCTGTAATCCCAGCACTTTGGGAGGCCGAGGCGGGAGGATCACGAGGTCAGGAGATCGAGACCATCCTGGCTAACATGGTGAAACCCCGTCTCTACTAAAAATGCAAAAAATTAGCTGGGCGTGGTGGTGGGCGCCTGTAGTCCCAGCTACTCCGGAGGCTGAGGCAGGAGAATGGCGTGAACCCAGGAGGCGGAGCTTGCAGTGAGCCCAGACAGCGCCGCTGCACTCCCGCCTGGGCGAAAGAGCAAGACTCCATCTCAAAAAAAAAAAAGAAAATTTTTTTGACAGCTTATTTTGTTTATTACCACTTTTTAATATGTTTCATAATTAGTACTTCAAGAGCTATATAACTATCCTTAAAATTATGTAATGAAATTTATATATCCATTTTTCTATAGTTGATAGATTTAATGATTCATTTTTAAACTGTATTATGTGACTTTTAAAATTTTTTAATAAAATTCTAATCATCAATGTTTAAATGTTTTAAATGTTAATGTTTTCAATGTTCAAAATCTTTCTAAAGCACCTAATACAATCTCTTTCCGTCGTAAAGTAAACTAAACCTAATTTCATGTATCTATGATTGACAGCTATGATTTAAAGAGCAACTCCTGTGTATCAGACTTTGTGGTAGACAGTTTACATTTCCTCTCTCATGTAACAGACCACTCTGTATGAGCAGTGTGTCTAGTCCACATGCACCTCTGTGAATTTTAGAGAAAGCATCTTTAGACAAATGAATAGTGGATAGCATGGTGTTGCCTTTGTGGAAAGAAAAAAAACGGTGCCTCTTCCTCAGACCCACCCCTAAGCCAGAGCACAAAGGCTCACAAGCTTTTGTCATTTGGTTACATGGCACTTTATCCCACTCCTCCCCAGCCACCTTAACTCAAGACCTTGATTAAGGGTGGTAAAATGCAAGTTCAGAAAGTTAAGCGTCTTAAACCAGGATTCTACAAATATATTAAAATTAGAAACTATCTGTCAAAAAATAGGTATTTTGTTAAAGAAAATATACATATACATGCAATGAAACATAGATGATAATTTAAACCTATATGTGTTTATAGAAGTGAATGTTCACGATATATTTTAAGAGAAAAAAGGAAGTTAAATGTCATATTCAGAGTAGGATTCAAGTGGACTTTACAATGCAGGGGAGGTGACAGAATATTATGCAACACTTTTTTCAAAGAAAATATCATCTCTAGTAGTAAATATTACAGTGACTCCATTTTGCTTACTGTGTTTTCAAACTGGTTAAAACTTAACCTTTATTCATCCCGAAGTAAATATTGCATTTTCACATTTCATTAAATATGTTGTTCTGAAAACTAGATATTGTAATTTACTTTTGAAAATGAAAATCAGCTGTTGTCATTGACAAGTGTTCAATTAGTAATAATTGAATTGCTCTGAGAAGATGAGGAAGGGATAAAATTTTCTGTTTTCTAGCTATATTTCTGATGTGTCATCAGAGTTATCATTGAACATTACCACGAATGAGGCTGAATTGTCATTAGAAAAATAACTACACTTAATAATTCTTATGGTTACTGAAACAATCTTAAAATACCAGCTGCTCTATTCAACAAATATCAATATATGGATTGCTCCACAGGTGAGACATTTAGTGAAATGAACAGAAAAACTTCTCACACAAAATATGCTCATTATTTAAACATGTATCAATAAAGTTATCTTTATTAACACATCAATTTTAAAATCTAAAAATATCAGTTCTAACAAGTGTATAATGTATTCACTTATTACAAGTCCTCATTGACTCCCACTGATCTGTGGTTTTAAGGAAGCAAGTAATTTAGTTTGTTTCAGTGGTACATAAAATAAAAACAAATGGGTTCCACTTGAGGCTCAAGGGGTTCATCTATAATTATCTGATTTACTTCTACACGTGTTAATGTTTAAAATGTATAACACATTTGGCTTGCCTCAGATTATTTCCATATTCTTAAAGATTTTTCCCTCCCTCTGGAAAACTGAGCCTGCAAGATAAGTCCATTTTGTTTTAAATGAGATGTTATTTTCTGCAAATGCTTGTGCATAAATACGGCAACATTTCTGGAGGCATGGTTTTCTTTTTCTTCTTAGAGTTAATGTATCATCCTAGTAAATAATCCACATGGTTCATTAAGAAAACATGTGTTCTGGGGCTTTTGTCTGTGATAGTCTTCACCTGTCATTTTCAACCAGCCTCAGCCTATCTGCTCTGTCACAATCACTACTAAAATATGTTCCTAAATTGCTTGTTTCTAGATCCTTCCTTCTCATATGCTCAGGTGAACACATGGGTGAAATTTAATATGGAATTGAAATATGTACTATGCAAGATAGATTCCTTAAGAAATGTTTCTCTGATTTATATGACATAATTGTATTTTACTAGTTTACCTGTCCATCTGTAAAACTTTGTTTTGGAGATTTCATATATTACAATGTTTAAGAAATATGCTATAATGTTTTGTATAGTATATTTCTTCGTGATAACCTTATATACTACCAGTCACACGTGTTTGTAAAAATCTAAAGAGTACTTTTGGCTCCTACAGAATGTGTGAAGTTGTGAAATTGTTTTTTTGTTTTGTTTTGTTTTGTTTTTATGCCCCAAAGATGTGGAGGGCTTCATATAAGAGGGTAGATTTAATGAGAGAGAGAGGGAGAGACAGAGAGAATGATAAAAGAAGCTTAAGAGATTATTTTATCTTGTCAACGACATTGTTATTGAATGTAAGCTGCTAAACTTCTTAGATAAAGTAAAACAGTAAAAACAAACACACAAAACAGAACAGAGAATCATCAGACAGGCTGACGAACACAGTACAATAAAGCAGCCAGTACCGATGATCAGTGGACATCAATTTGTCTTTTGGGCTGTAGCACCTGCTACTAATTGGTGCAAAGCGCTCACCAGTCAGTGCGTGGTTTAGCGCACTCAGCTGTCTCCTGTATGTGCTGCGAGAAGCAAGATAGCTAATTGCTGTTGCTTCAGTGCCAGTGAAATCAACGTGCTGAGCTAATAGCGACAGATAGAGGGCAGACAGATTCCTGCTAGCAGCTTAGTGTTAGTTGCTTGTGGTAACTAAGGCAGGTGGCATACATCTCAGAACGTGGAGAATGATGGTATGCTTTCTGAGTTAACATGTTGAACTGTTTTGCTTTTCTAAAAATTTTCCTAGTAACATTTTCTTGATGATATGAGAGTGGATATCAATGCCTCACAGAAACAAGAGGTGGAACATGTGAATGAATCGTCTTGGAACTAGATTATGAGCACTGGTTCTTTTTAAAGGGATGTGCAAGAGGCAGCCTTGGCAAGAAAACTTGCTGCATAATCTTACATGGACTAAAGATGAAACTTTAAACCGCAAGTAAGTTCTTCCCCCGCCCTTCTCTTATTTTTTTCAAATTTAAGGCAGCAGTGAACCACAGAGAAAGTTAAGATGTTCTTTCAGTACAATGATCTCTGTCATGATGCTACTTTCTGTCATGCTTGTTGAAAGAATAGAGTAGTAATGATTGCAAGTGATTATTTGCTGGAAGAGTGAACACAACTGCCTGTCCTTTCATTCTTCCTGATTACTGTCTGGTATTGTAATTTTGTTTAGATGACAATGTAATCTTTACAAAGACACAAGCTTTTGAATTATAACTCTGGTTTGTTATTTAAAAGAATTTTTAGTCCTCAACCACTTCTTCTACTTCCTCCAACCTGAAAAAATACAGAAAAATGGCATCAGAATTGACTTTTTGTTTTTCTGTGTGCAAATATTGATGATTTGTTTTATGAGTGGTTGTTGCTGGAGGTTATAGTTGGCAGTTGAGTTAAAGTAGCTAATTCTGCCTCACAATGAACAGTATTTTTTGTCTTTTGTGAGTATACTGATATTTTTACTGTGGATGTTTTAGTTTATTAGAATATTTACTTCCTTTGTGCGTATCTGGAAGCATTAACCATTTAGAATTTGAATCTAGGTCAACTGTATCCTTCTAATACAGAATTAATGCTAGATAGTATTAACAGCTTTCCCACTTTGTGATGTGGCCTTTACTTTAAAAAATATACTTTGGTAGCTATAGAGTGGGTGGGCCCTGAATAACAAGTTTCAGGTTCAGTGTGTTGATACTCTGTGTCTCTAGTACACACAGATGGCCATCGATTTGATGGACTTGTAGCACGTATGCAGAAAGCCATTGTTAACTAGAGTATAATATGATGGCCTCCTGTAAGGTTAACTCCAAGTCATACTCATTTGCTTTCACAAAAGAGCCAATTGTCAAATCTAGTAACCAAATACTTAAGTTATTATGTTGCTTAACATTAGAGAAACAAATAATCTGTAAAAGAGGCATATTTTGAGCGCAAAATGCTTGCTGTGGTTTGCACAGCAGGTATGAAGCTTTGTTGTATATGCTCATGTGAACTGTTTTTTTGTTTTCTTTTCACAGAAAATTGGTTTTACTATTAGTTTCTTTAGTTTGCTTAAGTTGTGGCTAAGTGTGAATGAGTGAATGTATCTGTACATGTGTGTCTTCAAGTTTCAGCAACTTGATCCCCTTGACTGTGGACTCATTCTCCTATGAAATAAAAGTGCCATTTAATGGGTGCCCAATTCCACTGAGTGGCGACCTCCTAACCCCTCAGCTGTTGCAATTATGTGCTGAGCAGGAAATGTGAATCCCTACAACTTTGCCCCCCAAATTACCCTTAAACATAATCATTAAGTGACCTGAACAGGTCAGAGTTTGTGCTACCTAAGTGTCAGCAACTTCTCTGGAAAATTATGGCATGAAGTTTTGAATATTATTCACAAAAAGATTTAAATAAAACATTTCATTTTCTAGGAAATGTTTAAAAATATGGTATACCCACTGATAATATTTGATAAGTATCTGAACTATAGTTTTAAAAAACACTAATAATTATGCTTTAAAAAAACCCAGTGAAAAATAAATGTCCATTACAACTTTGCTCTTAATTTGTTCACATTTAAATTTTGCATGGTATGTGTTGTATCTTTTTATTATACAACTTTCACAGCAGATAGGCAGACATAAATTGTTTTTATGCCACTTGCAAAAATTCTCCAGTATTTGGTTCATAGCTTATGTTTGAAATTAAAGGCAAAAGGTAATTATTATTTTTATCAAAGGAAATCACTATAATTATTTGATCACAAAACGTACGTCAAGCAAATACATGTTGAGGAATTAATGATTCCTTTGTGTTATCACTTTATCATGAGGACTTTTACTCCTTAGACAAATTATGAACCTTCTCAAAATAGTAAAATGTAAAACCAAAAATTATAAAGTAATTTCATAAATGTGACTACTTTATTGGGTAGATGAGTGTACTCCCCCTTTCTGTAAATGTGCAGATACAATTTCAGACTGTAGGAACTTTTTTTCCTACTTAAATGGTGTAAAACAATAGCTTTTCATAAACGAGCTGTTATATTAACTTCTTCCTAACACAGAAGCCCCCCATATACATTTACATTTTATTGTAGCCCTAATGCTGGGAGAAATACATGGTTTTAAGTTTCACTCAGGATTTGAACACAAGGAAAAGTTAGCAGAAATAATAATCTAAACAAAGAGACCACACTACTTCATAAAATGATCATATTTATTATCTAAAAGTTTAATTTTACTTCAGACTCTATTTTAAGAGTGGGTTTTGGTCATAGTCATTTTGTTTGTATTTTTCCATTTTTTAAAAGAGTTCTTAGTATCGGGACCACTTGTGAACTAGAATCATTTTGTCATTCTATGTATCTGTGGTTTTCACATGCAAAATAAGACTATACAATTATAATATTGAAAAGATTGTTTTACTTGTCAGGGATGGCATCCAAAAACTATTTTTGTTACTCTCAACTAAAACTTTGTTTGAGGTTTGATATATTTTCTTTTGTAATGGGATTTTGTTGTTGTCGTTAACACTATAGCATGAGAGAATGTGGATTCAAAACTAACAGTGACCTGTGGGGCTTCATTTATTAGTTTCAGACTCAAATATGACTGAGTTGCATCCAAGGGTATTGGAAGGAAGTGTGGTGACTCATTAGTGCTCATAGTCAATTTTGAGTGAGGAAAAAAAAAAAGCTAATGTGAGTAATTTATGGCCAGATTATTTTCTCTTGATAGAGTCGCCATAGAAATTCCAGAGGTGTAAATCACCCAGAAACTGTAACGTTTATTTAAATTGAATACTGGAAGCACTTAGGTTGAAATGGTGACAAGAACCGAGAATACACCCAGAAATTCCAAATGCACATGTTAATTCGTTGCATGTATGGATGGCAGGGGCAGGATGGGAGGTAGTTTTGAATGTGAGAGCGACTAGCTTGACCTTAAAATACAATTTTCAACTGTGGTGTATAAACTGAAGTGAGAGACTTGGAAGAATATGTAGACGAGTATGACTTAATCTCAGCCTAAAAGTCAGTCACGCTGAGTAAGATGGACACACCCCGCTCCCCCCCTGCCCACACATACACATGTGTGCTATTTATTAATATAAGGAGCATAGAAACATCATATTCTGTCCGAAGGACAACAATTATTTTCCTTGAGAACCTCAGCACACCCTCTAAACATTTGTTCCTCAGTGTCCACATTTAAAATACATAACTTATAAATGAAGCCAGCAAAATGAATAAGAAACCTGTAAATTGCTAAATAATTTTAAATACAATTAATTGTTTTAATCTTGTCCAATTACTTCCTAAGATGATCGTGTGTGTGTGTGTGTGTGTGTGTGTGTGTGTGTGTGTGTGTGTTTCAACAATAACAGCAACAAAATAATTTTCACCTAAAGAGTAAAAGTTTCTGAGCACTGTAATGGACAAATTTCCTTTTATATCATAAACCTTGTTTAAAGGTTGCATTCACCCTTAAAATTAGATCATGGCTATTGAAGCTATAAATGTAAGAGGCAAAAGCAGTCATTATTTCAAAAAACTAAAGAAAATGAAGCATTTCTTTCCTTCAAGTTGGTAAATGGAAAAGTTCAAAGCTTGTTTATTGTGTTCCTTGATGGATAAGAAATTGATAGGAGGTGTAACTTTCTGTATGGCTTTTAGAGTGTAAGCATTCTCAGGCCATGGCAGATGTGTAGTTCCTATTACTTTGAAAAGTCATTCATTCTCATGCCTAGTGAAAGGGCAAACTTCCGATAGAATTAAGCACTGTTTCCTGACCGGGGGAGGACAGCGGTGTGTGCAATGAAGTGCATCATTCAAAAGGAAGCCCAGCTAATGAATGCTCTCCCTGTTGTTTTCATGGAGGTGTCAGAATGAGCCTTTTCTGATTCTGCATCACTGAATCCTTATGGAAATGCAAATTGTTTATCCAAGGACAGTGACTTTTCTTTTTGCTTTATCATTTAAGGGACTTATTTCTTCAACTTTGCAGCACATCACTGGAATCCAGAAAAGGGTCATTAAAACTGGATGAGAGGTTTTTATTACTTTAGAATCTTACATCTCTGTCCGAGAGACAGAGACAGACACAGATAAGTCACAGAAAGATATTCACAGAGATACAAACTCAAAGAGAGATACAGGGATAGTCACACAAAGAAAATGAGAGAGACTCACAGGGAAAAACATAATAAAAGTTAGAGACAGTCAAATATAAGAAAAAGAGAAAGGGAACAGAAAGAGAAACTGAGATATACACTTAGAAAAGAACAGAAAGAGAGAGAAGTGGAGATAGGTTGAGACAGAAAGGTAGAAGCAGAGTGACAGACAGGCCGGGAAAACACAGGGTCAAGAAAGACAGAAATAGACAGATTGCCAGAAAGACAAATAATAATCAAAATGAAACAAAAAAATGTAAAGAGATAGGGAAAGGGATATAGAGACAGAAAGTCTGAGAGATAGAGACAGAAAGGGAGACTGAGACAGGCATACATACAGATAATAGGAAGGTTGATATATAGATATAGATACCTAGATGATGATGATAGATAGATAGATAGATAGATAGATAGATAGATAGATACATAGATACATAGATAGATAGATAGATAGATAGATAGATAGATAGATAGATAGATAGATAATGTAGAAAGACAGAGAAGAGAGCCTGTGATCCAAGCATGGAGAATGAAATTAAATGTGTGTATGTAAGAGAGAGGCTGTGAGATGGGTCTTCAAGTTTCAATAACTGTTGCTATAGAGAATTGATGGTAAAGAAAAGAATACAGAACCAGATGGAATTGAGCTTTAATTCTATTCCACTCCCTTACCAGCAAGGATCAAGTTGTTTAACTTCTCTGAGCCTTGGTTTCTCTCTGTAAAGGGTGATAAAAGGATGTAATTCACATACATAAAGCATGCAAGCACAGGACCTGAAACCAAGGTATATTTCAGTAAATGGAGATTGATACTTATCATCATCATCATCCTTGACATCAACATAATTATTTAGGTATAATTCTTGAAAGCAAAAGCATTGTCATCAGAGGTCAAGGCATCAGAGGTCAAGTTAAATCCTTGTTTCAACCCTTATTCTGCACAGAATATAGTGAGTAATTTAATATTGATAAGCTATAGTTGCATCACCTGGAAAACTCAGGTATTATTTTCTATCTCATAGTCTTGCTCTCAATTAAATGAAAAAGCATATTTCATTTGTGGCCTTGCACGTTGTATTTTAGTAATTCCACTAACTAGCTCAGTGTCCAAAATTTGGTAAGTACTCAATAAATATTTGATGAAAGAATACATATTTGCTCTGAATATTAGTTTCCATAGAGTATGGAAAAGCTGAAATGATGTTTTGGTTTTTTAATATGAAACATTGCAATGAAACAATCAATTTCCTCCTGTCTGCTTTGCAGAGAATGGTGGTATTGATTTGCAGAATTACTAGAAAAGATATCTCCCTACTGTCCATCCTACTTTCTTAAGGCCAACTGAAGTAATAGTTTTGAGAATGGACATTTATTTTGTCCTGGTGGTGACTTGGTCATTTTTATTTAATTACTTAATATAAGGACTGGTTTTGGAAGAGAGAGGCGGTAGGAATTTTTAAAAAGTAAGTGAATGTTTATAGTAAGATGAGTGAAGATCGACCAAGGACAAGGAAAAGTGGACCATTAAGTTAGAAAAAAAGTATAAAACTAAGAAGTGTGGAGAATTTTAAATGAGACACACATATACTTCTTTTTCTGAATTTCAAGAAAAGATGGGAGAAATATCATCATAAAGAATGTGTATGGTTTGTAAGTGAAAATGTATAATATGAAAGTACTAAGGCTATCCCTAGCTATAAGGCAGATTATGATAAATAAAGAGATTTGCCAGAAAGTAAAGTACTCAAATTTTGATTTTCAATTTTATGTTAAAAATTTGAACTTAAACAATTTTTGAATTTTACAATTCAGAACTTTTTACTAAATTTGTTATTACTACTGTTTGACTATGTTTTAAAAAAAGCAATCTAGGAATGAATGCAAGAGTTTGGTTTGAATGTTTATTTTCCTACTTTCTTTGATGTGTTGTTGAATTTATCTTATAAATGATAGAAGGAAAAAATATTTAGAGTCTACTGTGTGCCAGGAGCTATGAATGGTGATTTTAAATATGCCATCCATTTAACCTCTACCAGGTAGGTACAGATTTTGCCCCTCTGATTAATTTTACTTCTGAATGTGTGTGCATGAAGCCCTTCATTTAAGAGGTGTTGAAAGTCTGTTAACCTTACATTCCATCTGATACGGTAAGCATGAAATAAAATACTCCATTTGGAACATTAGCTATAGTTGCATTGGTGTGCTAATATTTTTCAAAAAAATGACAGCAAACATTTCAGGCATATTTATAAGGTTTATTGAAAAATTTCCACTCAGGATATACTGAGCTTTCAATAGCATACATTATATTAATTATTATTTTGTATTTGTAAATTAGGGCTAAGGATAGAACAATATTCAGCTGAGCTTCAGATAATAAGGTTTCATTGTGAGAAATAAGATTTTCTCAAATAACTTTTTAGGAGATGGTAACTTGAATGGAAGATATTGTGTAATTGAGAAAATGCCAAAGCAAAGAGCATTGCTGTGTGTTTATGTAATAAAATGCATGTTTAGTAAATAGTTGCCATTTTGATGTAGATTATATTTCCTTTAAGATATATATAAGATATATATATATCTTATATATATCTTAAAGGAAAGAAATATATATCTTAAAGGAAATATATATATATCTCAAAGCAGTTTCTTAGAATTCATGATTATTTTAATCAAAGAAATAGCTGTGCATTGTTTTCAAAAAAGAACATTAAATTGTGAGTATAATGAAAAAAAAAAGAACACATTCCTGCCCCTTAGTCAAGTTTTCCTATACAACTTTGTAAACCCTTTTTTGTGATGTTTCTTATTTTATTTATTCACATATTTTTAAATAACATGATTATGATGTTATCTTTTGATTTACTGATTCAAGATATTGTTTTCTTCCTATTACGCTATTTAACATTTGGTTATTTTATACCATCAGCTCATTTTTTATCCTACCCCAAGTTCTAAGCACAGTTTTACATATATATACACAAGTGTATATATATGTATATATATGTTTATATATGTATATATATGTGTGTATATATGTATATATAAGCATATATATACATATATAAATTATGGCTACTTTACTACAATATGCAAAAATAGATTGTGATTCTTTTCTAATTTTTTATTTTTCTATCATTAATTCATGCCTTTTTCAGCTTACTTTGCTGAACCTGTATCTTTAAATTTTTTTGAGACATTCCACAGATCATGATAGTCAATAGATAAATTGACTTAGAAAAATAAATTTTTCTAAGTCTTCAAAAATGCTGGCCACTAAATTCCATGATTTTTCAGAATGGCAGTCCTCCTTTCAGCAGTTTTAAGACCCAGACTTATACTGCCTCATTGCCTCTGGGTGGGTGTATAAAATCTCAGCTTCCCTCCTGTATCCCAGAGCCACCAGAGATATTGAAAATAG
Organism: Homo sapiens; assembly: GCF_000001405.40. Taxonomy (NCBI): domain Eukaryota; kingdom Metazoa; phylum Chordata; class Mammalia; order Primates; family Hominidae; genus Homo; species Homo sapiens. The sequence goes on along the minus strand of NC_000010.11, from coordinate 54,793,286 downwards.
AGAATTGACTTGCAATACTTTTTTGCTGCAGAATGGGTGTGGAGGCTCAGCTACTCAATATCCCTGACACCAAGGGTGGGGATAAAGCGCAGTGCTAACTAGCCTAGACTTGCAACACAGTTTCAATCTCATTGATGCCCAGGTGGGGATGAAGGTTCAGTTCCCCTGAGCCTACTGATATTGGGTGCTGGTGGTGACATGGAGTAGTGGAGTGGAGCCTACAATTGACAAGATCATCCTCATATTGCCTCCTTAATTAAGTCAGCTTGGTACTGGGTAGGAATAGAGGCTCACCTAGCTCACCTGGTGGTCCAGGTGGAGGACTCTGCTAACAGCATGATATGGGTAGGAGTTGGGAATGGGGGACTCAGTACATTTCCTTCTTTCTGGTAGTGAATGAGATATAAGATCCCACCCTGCCAGTGCTCAACCTGGCTATATTACTGTATTTGTCAGGGTTCTCTGGAGATACAGAATGAATAGGAAATTAGATAGGTGACAAATAGGTTACCTATTTGTCTGTCTATCTGTAGATAGATAGACAAGAAATTGTCCCAAGTAATCACAGAGAATGAGAAGTCCCTAGATCTGCAGTCAGCAAGCTGGAGATCCAGGAATACTGATGGTATTGATCCAGTCTGAGTTCAAGTCTGATGGTAAAGGACTCACGTCCCAGCTTGAAGACAGGTAGGGAGAGCAACTTTTGTTCTGTTCGGGACTTCAGTGGTTTAGATAAAGCGCATCCACACTTGGGTTGTCAGTCTGCTTTACTCAGTTTACCAATTCAAATGTTAATGTCATTCAGAAACACCTTTACAGGCACACCCAGAATAATGTTTAACCAAGTATTCGGGTATCTTATCGCCCAGTCAAGTTGACACACAAAACCATTCATCACAGCTCCTTGAGTAGATGAATTTAGTGGCAGCTACCTGCTTTCTCAGAAGCAAGGTTGTCATTTGTGAAAAATCTGCTCCCTACTTGACATTGCTGAAGTCACTAGTGGGGTAGAGATGGTGCAATTTTTGTCCTTGGTATTTGGCTGGAGTAGGCAAGTATTTCCCAAAACTTTTTCTGTTTTTAGACCACCATTTTTCTGGTCCTTTGTTTAGAGTAAAGATATTTTTCTTGGAGCTTTTTGGACCTGCATCTATATTCCAGTCCATTTTGGAGCCCTGCCCCAGATTATGGGCCAGAATAAGGAAACCCAGAGGGCTCACTGCCATGTTGTTGTTGGCCCTTAGGTCTCTAGCCAGTTCACCTTGTTCTTTCTACTTCTCAGGGTCATTCTATGCTCATTAATTGTGTTGTGTACAGGGCTTTTGTGTTGTAACAAGAGGGGCTTCTTAATGAAATCAGAAGTCTTCCTAATGCACATTGTAAAGGTGCTACTCTCCCTGCTCTGTGGAAATAGTCAACAGGTAGATGAGAGCAGAAATGAGAAATTAAGGAGCCCAAGCAATAATTTAGGCACAAAGAAATGGTGGCTCAGCCTAAGGTATTAGCAGTGCGGTGGTCAGAAGTGGTTTTGATTCTGAATACATTTTAAAGATAGAATCACCATAATGTATTGATGGCTTAAATGTGAGATATGAAGTAGAGAGAGAGATTGGATGACTTCAGGATTTTTAAAATTGTCACTGAGATGGGAAGATTAGCATGAGCTTAGAAAGGCAAATTAAGATCTCATTTTTAAACATGTTACGTTTGAGATGAGTATAATGCATACAAATTAGATAACCCTGCAAGTTTAGAGCTTAGAAGAGAAGTTGGGCTGGATATAAATTTTAAGAAAAGAAAAGGTCTGTGGACCTTAAATTTTAAGAAAAGAAGAGGTCAAGGTTTCTAAGGGACTGTGATTCTATAAAGGATTAGATTCTCCAGTTTGAATTCAACTTCAAACTCAGTGACCCATTGAGTGAATTATTAATGCAATTCCACTCTCTCTACTGCAATCTTGCTTCCACCTTTGCTATTTTTCTGAGATGCCCCATACCTGTTGTCACCAATGACTTGCTAAATTCAATGGAAGATTTGACCTATCTGGACTACTTGATTGCTGAGTACTACCTCATATTTCTTTTATTTTAAGAAAAGAAGAGCTCTGGGCCCTTATAAGGATCAATTGTTTCAAATACCATTAATGATTCCAAAAAGACAGGAACTGATAAATAATTACTGGTTTCAAAAATGGAGGTTATTAGTAAACATGAAAAGCAGTTCAGGTGCTGTGTTAGGATTGAAAGATAATTGGTCTAGGAGTATTTTGAGTATTTTTGTTGTTATTGTTATTTTTGTTTGTGGGTCTTAATATTTTTCTCTCAAGATCTCATTCTTATCCTCTAAGTCATTTGCTTTTTTAAAATTATATTTTCTTATCTTTGTGAGGATGTTTATTTTAAAGCAGTTTTATTTAGCTACCTCTCTATTATTTCCTCTCCCTATTCCCACCTTTTATTTTTTATTCTGTTTTATTTTCCATTTTTAGGGTTTCAGGTTTTATTCAAAGAGGCTGATTAATCCTGCTTCTCCATTCACATTAAATTATTAGATGAGTATGTAGGCAATGGAAACATATATATCTTCACGTGTAATTGTTCAGTGTTTATTATTTTTCATGTATCTCTGTGTGGGTGGATTTTAAGTCAACAGGACCTTGGGGCCAGGGGAATGATCTGCAACACATGGCTTCCAAGCTCGCTCAGAGGATTTGTTACCCCAGACAACTTTCTGCGGGAAAAAAATAAGCAGCCTGCAAAGAAGGTTTCATAAATCAAGATAGGATGGGATGTGGCACATGGGACTTCTCACCTGCCTTTGTCTAGAACTCAGTCACAAGGCCAAGTTTAACTATTGGGAAGTTGAGATAAATACTCTTGTTGTGTTCTAAAAGATGAGGGAAATACATATATATATTTTTTACATATATAGGTATATATATATATGTAAATATATACATATGTAAAAATGTGTGTGTGGATTTTTAATAGATAGTTGTCACTGTCACTAGTGGCTGGGCACTGAGATGCTCTTTGGAAATCTTCTGTGTATGAGCAGAGCTTGTCAGCAGGTAGACATTCCTGTACTCAAGCAAAGAATTGGCCTTACTTTCTTTGACTTAAAAGTCTGGTGGCTCTCTGACAATTTCTTCAGAAAATAAAATCTTAGTTATGGGGAAGGAGAAGTCTTATGGGAAAATTGCTCAGAACTTGGGGAAGGATCCCCCTAATTTACCTATACTTTTATTTAATATTTTAACTGACACCACTAATCTTTCTTGATTTTCATGCTACCCTTATTTGTTAAGTTTGTCGTATTTTCTCCAGTCAATTTGATAGTGTATGTTATCCATACTCACCCAATTTTGCCATTTTCAATGTGATATTTTTGTATTCTGCTTTAAATAATTATGACCTTCCATTTACTTTCAAACATTAAGAAACTTGCTGAATCACATATTTGCTTTTATCACTTTTCTTTCCTGTGGTTTAATACTTTTTACAAATTTTAAACTGAGCTATGTGGAAGAAAACAAATAAGCACTTTGGTCAATCTAAAATCTTAAACTCACATATTTGCACTTCAAAATTAAGAAAAGGTGATTGTGGGATGATTGATTTATAAATAGTTGCATTTAAACATGGAATTTAAACATCAATATGCTTACTGAATATCTTAATGTCAACATATCATAAATATGCCAATTTTCACTGTAAAATAGTGATTATGATTGTTGCTAAGGAAATATTTGGTTTTGAACCAAAGTATATGTTAATTGCTTGTCAGTGATTTATATTTGTAGCTACTAAATCACTCAAGCCTCTGTCTTTTGCTTAAAGCACACACACACATACACACACACACAGTCATCTCCGCTGCAGTGCAATTTAATATTGAACATAGATGTTGAGGACATAGCAGGAGGAAAGAATAAGCTGTTAGACAACTCATCAGGAAATTCTCTCTCCTGCAGCTTCTCAGCAAGTCATAGGGTAAAAATTTAACAAGGGACAAAATAGAAACAAGATTTTTGGATAACTTATAACATTCACACATAGTATGTCTTTAAGGATTTTTGTTTTTGTATTTGCTTTGGTGTTGGTCATACCAAAGACATTCTTATAAATGTTATGTTATATATTGGTTGTCAAATGAATTTTAAATATGAATGTTTTGGGAGCCATTCACTATATTAGACGTACTTATGCTTTCTCATAGAAAAAAAATCAGCAACAATTCCTGAGACATTCAATGTGACCCCATATTCCATGTAGTTAGTATTATTCTCATGGGGAATATAAATATCTTCTTTGAAAGTTTCATATAGGAAATGACCAAGTTTCTAGAGGACCTTGATTCTATAAAGAATTAGATTCATAAGTTTGAATTCAACTTCAAACTCGATGACCCATTGAGTGAATTATTAATGCAATTCCACTTTCTCTACTGCAATCTTACTTCCACCTTTACTATTTTTCTGAGATGCCCCATACCAGTTGTCACCAATGACTTGCTAAACTCAATGGAAGATTTGACCCATCTGCATTACTTGCTATTGCTGACTTTTCCCCCATCTTAGAATCTCTCCTCTGCCTACTTTTACATAGCATAACTTTCACCTTTTGTTTATTTTTTGTTTATAATTATTTACATTTTAAATCTTATTACTGAAGACAGATTTTAGGTTTACTTTCAAGCTCTTCTTACTCTATGTATATCTCACACGTTAATGTTCTCAGATATACTTTCTTATTTTTTTCCCCTCCAGCCTTCCATATTACTTCTGATTTATTTTATCTACCGTTAAATTCTTAACTAATTTCTGTCTATAGATGGCAGCTAAAATTGTATCTCTGACATCTCCAAATTTTATTCCATAGCTCAGACCTGCATAACCAACTGTCTCTTGGAACTTTCATTTGGATATCCCATGATTATTTCAGATTCATAAGGTGTAAAACTAAGTTCATGATCTCTTCTCCATCCCTGCTTCCTAACCTCTAATTTTTCTTCATTATAATCTTATTTCGTCTACTAATAACATCTAATATCATATTACAAGCTTGAAACCCATATATCAGCCCTGTTTTATCCCTGTTTGTTTCTGCTCGTATTTCAAATGCTATATTTTTTCCTGTTAATTCTATCCCCTTAATAGCTTTAGAGTCAAACCTTCCTCCCATATGTTCCTGAAAGTTCTCATTATTTTTCACCTGATGGTCACCCTTCCTATTTTTTGTTTCTCCCCTTCCTGTGCCTCTCTTCTTTCTTACTCTGTTTTCTCTACAGTGCTGCCAGTCTTATGGTGTCATTGCGTTGCTAAGATATTCCAAGTTTTCTCATGCTGTTTATTCACGCTCTCTCGGATACTCTCTTTCTGCCTAAATAAGTTTATTCAAAAGAGAAGATAAATAAATTTATTGTTCTAACTAATTGAAAACCTAGTGATATATAACTGGCTTGCTACAAGCTTCGCTGAACTTAAGGCTCAAACATGAATTTGGGATGCATCTCTCCATTGGCTTTGCTAGTTGAATCTGTCCTCAAAATCCGTATGTTGGCTCTCAGCAGCTTTGAGCCCTGAGGTTCATGCCCTGATGATTAAACTGAAAATCTCTGATTTCCTGAATGTTTTTCTGCCCCATGAAGGGAAGGTGAAAAGTCCATACTGGCTCATCCTGTCATGTTCTGCACTCTTGATGCCTGGAGAAGAGTCACTTTTAGATAATATAGAGGTAGTGTAACTTGCCTTGCAGAAGAGAATACTTAAGAGTAACTGAAGTGAGAAACATTGCAGTAGCCTCTCACATTGAATCAAATTGTTTAGAATTTTGACACTATTGTTGACTATCACATAATGATATGTAAAAACTTAGACATATTTTCTAAAAAGTCAAGTTCAAAACTTGAAAAATAAATGCTTTTAGATAAAGGATTGTATCATACACTTTATATATTTGTGTAACTGTCACAAAGCATACATTAAGATGATTTTTGTAAAAATTGTTTTTTTTTCCTTTTTATCTTTATGTAGAATATTTTGGAAACCTTTTAAATGTTGGCCTATATTTATACCCTGCTTTTAGCATATATTTGTCAACCATTTAGGACTTTTTCCACATTTTTATAGATAATTAATGAACCAATTAACTGCATTATGTGATTCACATGTACAGCAAGATCAAGTTTTTTAGAATCAAAATTGGCATTCTATCTAAAGATGATACCTTCAAAGTTAGATAATTAAAGGCCATGGACTTTGTAGGATAATCTTCTAGGTTAGACAAGTAAAACCTAGAACAAACAAATCTAGAGATATTATATAGAAATATAATATCTTTACATAGTTAACTTTTGAGGAAATTAGCAAAGAAAATTGCAATGGATACAAGTTATAAAAGAACAATTGTAATAATAATATGAAGACCTGCCATACCCTATTTGATTTTATTCTCATTATTATAAAATACTATAAATTGTTTTCTTAGTAACAGGAACAGATTGATAAGAAGAAAACCTAAAGTCATATATTGAAGACTAAATGATAAGAAACTACGGTTTGTCATTTCATTGTATTGACATAAATTCAAAGATCTATAAAATCCTATTCCACAAAGCATACCCTTCATTTAAAATTCTGCTTTAATAAAAACGTATCTTTCTTATGACTATATTCCCAACAGTACTGACCTGCATGGTGCCAACAAATGTTTATTAAATGAATAAATCAGATTTGTTTCTCAAGACAGCTGTTTCTTGTGAATAATCTGTACTTTATGTCTTTGACTTCTATAAACAGAGCATTATCATGGATACTTGAAAAATAACTTGCCTGAATTCTCTGAAAATATTTTTGGGACTATTGTGTCTATGTTTTTATCTGTTATTTTGGAAAAGTCTTGTATATGAAAGATCTTCTCCTAGGAGCTCAAACTTTAACTGGTGGAATAGAGTGAAGTAGTAGAATCATGTGTCTGTTCTTGCTGATTATGTATGTCATATATGATTCATTCAAAAGCTACATTCGAGACTTTAACTATGGACTCCTCAGATGATATTATCCTAGCATTGATATACAGATGAATGCATGACTGCTATGCTCTCATCAAGCTGCCGGTTTTGTGTCATATATTCTAAAAGCACAGAATTATAACTGACGGTGATTATGGGACTTTCACTTTCAGTAATTGCACCAATCAGTACAATTTCTTATATTACTTTACCTGGAGAAGTATAAGTGCATATTATATCATAAGTGTGGACACTCAATACATTTATTGAATGAAAAAATGTAGAATCCAAAATAAACACTTCAGTCTATAGCTCTAGGAACTCAATAAATTATTTATTAGAAAGGAAACCTTTAACAACGTATCAGAGAGAAGGGGGTGCTGATGGCAATCCCTGGAACTTCCCTGAGGTGCTCCATCTCTAGATGGTGATGAAGATATAAGTGAGGATTTAGAGTCAAGCATAGGATGCCTTTTAAAAAAAAATGTCTGTCTCTGCAGAAACAGATGACGGTAAATCTTAGCTCTGATGGCAGAATTTAAGATTTATCCAGGGTGCTACATGCTTTTTTCCCCCTTGTCTCAGCCTAAGTTTACAAAGAATTAGTATAGAAGGTCTTGAAATCTGAACAGCCATTTGCGTTCATGTTGCTACCCAAAGTTATTGTACAAGGGAATTTTGAGATTCTGCATCAAAGGTGGAAGAATGCTAGAAAATCAGCACTCCCTCAGGAACATTAATTAATCCAGATCAAAAGGGGATCCAGGAAACTCATCAAAGGTATGCAAGGGATAACTCTATGGGTTGTTTCTTAAATAGTCTCTCAGGAATTGTATACATAATGCTTATTAGGTATTACCCTACTTGGGAGTTAATTAGAGAGCTAAAATATGAAGCTTAAGAAAGGAGGAGGGGATTGTGAAAGAAAAGCAAAATACATTTTATTCTAGTATTAATACTGAGGTATGCAGCTAGGTAGAACAATAAGAGAAAAAAATGTTGAGGCAGGCTCCAGGCTCCTATGTATCAGAAAGAAAAAAATAAAGTTATTTTTTTTTTCTGATCACCAAAAGTTTGAGAACAAGAAGTTATTTTCCAAGAAGAGTAAAAAAGAAAGGCATTTTTATAAAATGGAACTGACTTTATGCTGCCTTTCCTTTTTGTGTTTTGCCTGCTCTGTATCTTCTTCTGATCTGATATTTGGGTCATATCGGGTAGATGAACTCTGTGTTCCGTTCTGAAATGCAGGCACACTTCCTGTCTTGGTCAGGGATGTCTTGGGGCTTAGAGAAGGACTGATGACTGACATGATGGAAATGAAGCCATTAATGGGTTCAGTATGCGATGGGGGTTGGGAGCTGGGTGAAGTCAGAGGTAGAAAAAATAAAATATATAAAAATTAATTCATTCACATAGATTCATCTTCAGATTATTCAAGACCAAAACCAGCATGTATAAAGATATAAACAAAACAAAAAGCAGTAATATATTATATGATTATGCAGAGTTATACAAATATATATTGCCTTTTTCCCAGTATTTATTTTTGCCTTCTGATCATAGCACCACAATTTTCCTTGGATTACATTTTTCTCCATCAGTAATTCTACTTTTGCATGATTTCATGATGTTAGATATCATCTGTTTGCTTCCAGATGTTGGACTCCCTTAAGCATTTATTTTCAGGCCAATCTAGTGGTGATGAATTGATTCTCTTAGTTTTTGTCCATATAGGAAAGACTTTACTTCTTCTTCATGGCTAAACAGTAGCTTTGCTGGACATAGTATTTTTGACCAACTTTTATTTTTTTCTTTCAGCACTTTGAATCTATTATCCCATTATTCCTGGCTTGTTACATTTCTACCGCGAAATCTGCTCTTAGTCTGGTAAAAATTCCCCTACATGTGACAACACTTTTCTCTTGCTTTTTTTTTTTTATTATTATTATTCTAAGATCTTTTTATTTATTTTTTTATTTTTTAAAATTTCAGTAGCTTTAGGTGTACAAGTGGTCTTTGATTACATGGATAAATTGTATAGTGGAGATATGGTTAGGCCGTGTGTCCTCAACCAAATCTAATCTTGAACTGTAACCCTCATAATCCCTATAACCCTCATGTATCAAGGAAGAGGCTAGGTGGAGCTAATTAAATCCTGGGGGCAATTTCTTGCATGCTGTTCTCATGATAGTGAGTGAGTTCCCATAGGACCTCATGGTGTAATAAGTTCTTCTCCCTTCACTTGACACTTCTCCTTCCTGCCGCCGTGTGAAAAAGGTGCCTTGTTTCCCCTTTGCCTTCTGCCATGATTGTAAGTTTCCTGATGCCTCCCTAGCCAGGCTGAACTCTGAGTCAATTAAAACTCTTCTTTGTAAATTGCCCAGTCTTGGGCAGTTCTTTATAGCATTATGAAAACAGATTAATACAATTGGTAAAGTCTGAGATTATAGTGCACCCATCACTTGAGTGGTGAAGATTGTACCCAATATGTGGCTTTTTGTCTCTCTTATTCCCCTCCCAGCCTCCCCACTTTGGAGACTCCAGTATCCATAATTCTCTTTGTCTTTTACTTTTGATAGTTTTACTATAAGTATCGATAAGAAAACCCTCTGGGTTGAATCTACTAGGAAATCTTTAATCTTTCTGACTCTGGAAGTCCATATCTCTCTGAAGACTTGGGAATTTTTCAGCTCTTACTTTATTAAGCACGTTTTCTATGAATTCTTATCTTCATCAGAAACTTCATAATGCAAATATTTATTTGCTGAATGATGTTCCATATGTCTCACAGGCTTTCTTTACTATGTTTACTTTGCTTTCTTTTTTCCTTTTCATCATTCTTTCTTTCCTTGTTTCTTTCTCCTTATTTGATGAGGTTATTTCAAAAGATGTCTTCAAGTAAAAAATTCCTACTTTATGGTTAAAGCCCTCAGTAGTATTTATCATTTCAGTCACTGAATTTTCCAGTTCCAGAGTTTCTGCTCGATTTTTTCTCATGATACCTATCTTTTTGTTGAATTTCTCATTCAGATCATAAATTATTTTTCTTATTATTTAAACATTTTTTCTGTGTTTTCTTGTATCTGTTTCTTTGTTAATTATTATTATTCTTTTTCAAGCATTCCATAGATTTCCTTTTAGAGATGGGTTCTCTTACTGGAAAATTATTTTGTTCCTTTGAAAGTGTCACGTTTCCTTGCATTTACCTGTTTTGTATCCCTCCATTGATATCTGTGCAACTGGTGGAATAGTTTCTTCTTCCAATTTTATGGAGTAGCTTTTATAGGAAAAGACTTTTTTTCCTGTAGATGTGTCCTAGAGTGTTGGTTTGGTAGAGTGCTTTGGCTTGGGTTCTGGTGGGCACATTAGTATAGTCTCCATGTGATTTCTCTGACTTCAATTAACATCAGTGGTATGGGTGAGTGTCTTGGTAGCATAGACTACAGTTGTTTGTAGAGACTGTGGTGAGGCCTTGCTGGAGAGAAAGATATTGGGCTGGCCAGCTCTCCTGTGTGTGGCAGTACTACCACTGGATGTGTTGGGGACTCCAGTGGTAGCAAGCTTGGTGGGCTAGTTCTTAGGTCCCTGAGGTCGTGTATAAGCTTGTGCCAGCTCTGCCACTAAAGGAGATGGGGGTTCTCTTTTGGATTATCTCAGCACCAAAGATATTAGCAAAAAAATCAGCCTGAAGGGAGAGAACAATTGAGAGATAACAGACATTCTTGCCACTAAAGTTAATGGATTCTTCTGTAATCAATTAGAAAAAGAACAGATTTGGTAGGTTAGTACTTTTACGTTTTACATTACTTGACACATAAAATTGGAGCAATACTCTTTGCCAGATGACAGGAAAACAATAGCATTGATTTTAGTTTATATTTCTGAGCATTTCACAACACTTACATAGGCATTATTAGCCTAATTTTAAAGATATAGAAACTGAGGCTCACAGAGTTTTAAGTGAACCACAGCAGTGTAAATTATGGAGTCAGAACTGGAACTTAAATACGTCTAGCTGCAAAGTCCCTGCTTGTTCACAGTATTGTACTACTAGATCAAGCAGTCATATCGCATCCTCAAAATTTACCTTTTCACTGTATCACCGCTGCTATTGGAGTATCAATAGTTCTTTTCACAGTAGGTTACTAAATCAGCTGTTCTGCATGGAATACTTTGAAAGATTTCTCAATTCTATTTTATAGATCTGTCTCATAACTTTGCTTATTAAAGAATGTATTTTGCTTTTTTTAAAGCCCCTTATCTCTGAGACTTACAAGCCTATTTGAATTATTTGCCAATGAGTTTTTCTTGCACTGTGACAAATCTAAATTACTTGAAAAAGCATAATACATCTTTGTAAGGTTTTGTCTTTCTAAATGTAAACGCATAGTACCAGCTGTTAGGTAATTGAAAGCAGGAACCTCGTGTTTGAAATATGTCTTCCTATTGGTAATATTCTTTCAAAGCACCATTTTATTTCCAGAAGAAAGAATGTGTTTAGAGGAAGCAAATTGTAAAGATGTTTAGTGAGCTATGATATTCAAATCCAGGGAAAAGAAAAAAGATAGATTTAGAGAACTAATATCTTACAGTTCAGATATTTAGAAAATAATAATTTTTATTCAAAACCTTTTTCCATAGGCTAAGTCATTCACAGTATATTTATTGGAAAACTATGTTAGTGTTATTGCTTCATTAGAATGACTTCATTTCAATTACTAGCTTTTCATCAGTTGTAGAGTATCAATTTTATAATCACATTTCAGGAGAAGATAAACTGTGTATGAAATGTACTTTGATACACAGGCATTAATATATAAAAAGGGTCAGTATATTCAAAGAAATATGTTAAGTGTCTTCCTATATTTGACAATGTCTACATAGATGTATTAAATTTTGTGAGTACTATGGATCTCATATAAAATATATTTGACTTAGGGCCTGTCGGGGGATGGTGGGCTAGGGGAGGGATAACATTAGGAGAAATACCTAATGTAGATGATGGGTTGATGGGTGCAGCAAACCACCATAGCAAGTGTATACCTATGTAACAAACCTGCACGTCCTGCATATGTACCCCAGAACTTAAAGTATAATAAAAAATAAATAATCTCTTAAAAAGCCAAAAAACATATATAAATATATTTGACTTTTCTCACTTGGGCTAGGTCCAAAATGTTTTATGGTGTGAACTGTTGATGATTTTTATTAAAAAGTGGCTTAGGTAGAGGTAATAAAATAGAATCCAAGATAAACTTCTCCATATTGCAGCTCTTATCCCTTACCATAGGCTGTGCGTGTCATTTTCTCCCACATTACTGTATTTGAGACTTTATAGCAATGCTGTTTTTCTAAGGAGCTTTACATTTTATTGGGCCATTTTAAGTTTCTGATTTAGTTTTGATCTCTGTTGACAATCGGGCATCTATATCATTCAAAGCTACTATGATTAAGGAAGCTACCAAATATCTCCAAAGTAATTTGTTCTCATTCGTTAAAAGATAATTTATATTCTAGAATTTTCTTTTTTTTTTTTTTTTTTACACAATTGCTTTATCACCTGATGAGTGTAAAAATGCCTCATTTTTATTCATACCTCAAATCCTGATGTGTGGAGCCCTACTCTTTGGCCAGAAACTTGATAGTGTTTTCCTAAGCTTTCCTTCCTCAAAATGTTTCCAAGAATGTCTCAATATTATGAGGAACAGCTCATTTTTGTCAGATTATGTTGATTGTGAAAGAAAATTACATAGATTTTAGTGAAAAATATAAAGAATTGTACATTAAAAAATCCCATCCTCAAGGGAGATATTTCGGGTTTCACGTCTCCTCTTGAGAACAAACAGTTCTCCCAGTTCCCAAGCCTTGCAGGTTTTGCAGTAAACAGCTGACCCACAGCTAGCTAATGCTGACATCTCTCACCATGTCCCAAAGATTTTTGTATTTACGTTAGTAAATGTAATGTAAGCTCAGACTGATAACTGTCCATTGCATATAAGCTATCAAAACTGATTGACTCACATTTCTCTTTCTCTTAAAATATATCCTCCTTGTGGTAAGGGCTTTCTTGCTGGCTTGCTCAAAAGTGATGAAGTATTCCCTAGAACTTATGTGTGGCACCTCACACGAAGTAGTGTCTTACTTATCTTACATGAATGACAGCAAGAATTATTTGAGAACTTCTCTGCGGAACATTTTGTAATTCTATATAGAATTCAAGCAAACCACCCCAAAGGGCTAAACAATGTAGAATTTACCACTGCTGTTTATAAGAATAAGTGCAAATATTTCTTATATGCTTGCCATGTGCTATAAATTATGATTCTGTAGTTGCATGAACATAAACCAATAGTGGCCAATTTAATCATAAAAGGATCTTTTCTGGAGAATATTAGCCCACACAAATGTTGAGAAGGTTTGAGAATGAGACTAGTTTATAAAAATGCTGCAGTAAAGCCTCAGGGGTCTATGTAGGAAGCACAAATCGACAATGTTGATAGAGCACCACCAATTGAATGAATGAAGTCCATTTATTTTTCTCATTCTTGTGTCATTGTACTCACAGTTCAAATTATTGGGAATGACAGTAGGATTCATTTACACCCTGCTAACTCTCTGCTGTGTTCACATTTTGGCTAGGGAAGGCAGGCCTCTTGATTTACATACCAGCCCGGAGCATCACATAGTAGGAAAGAATCAGTGTGCTGTATTGAACAGAAAGGGGAAGAAATGCTATATATATGTGTGTGTATATATATATACACACATATATGTGTGTATATATATACATATATATGTGTGTATATATATACACACATATATGAGTGTATATATATATACACATATGTGTGTGTATATATATATATATACATATATATATAGAGAGAGAGAGACAGATAAATATATATATTAAATAAAAGTGCTTATTACTGAATCCTAGTCCTGATTACTACCAACTCTGACAGAGTTGAGGTTATAAAGAATTTGGCTTTATCCTCAATGCAGAGTTCTGGTCAGTAACCTAGGTTACTTACTTCATTGTAGTGGATTTTGACTCATGAATATATTTACCCTTGGTTACTTATTTCATTGTAGTGGATTTTGACTCATGAATATATTTATCCTTTCCTAGAATCTTGCCTTAGAAAAGTGGAGTGAGGCCTATTTTGTTTTTATAGTCCTGCAACTTAAAAGGGTATTAGATTCTCTATCTCTAATCTCTCTCCTGAATTAGAGGTTGTAAATATGTGAGTAAAAGGAGAAATCCCTTCACACACGAGCAGCATAAGTTATTTAAAAGCAATAGATAGGCTGGAACAGGAAAGGAATGAAACCCAACTCTACCTTTGGTAGTACCACCATCACTGCCAACATGCCTTTTTTGTGTATTTTTTTCTTTGATGCCTCAACTTAATGTGAATTATAGGTTAGAGTTCTTGAACCTCTTTATAAATAGCGACAATTGTAACTATATATTTGGTCTGCAATTATCAAGGCCTCTTAAATTTATTTTAGTAATGAATGTGAGATTCAATACGACCAGTCAAGAGTAGATAAATATTTAAAGAGAAACTCTTTTAGAATTATATTTAATGAATCCTGAAATAATTAATATGCCTGAATACATCCCAATTTTAAGGAGAATGCAGTGTTACTTCACAATGATTTACCACTGTACATTATTCCCAAATTATAGTAAAAACACTAACCAGAAACAAAAGTGTAAATTAAATGAAACCTGACTTTATAAAATTTTTACAGTGTGCAAAAACATTGTCTACAGACTTTGTGGTTTCATTCCATAGTGCTTCTGTATAGCAGAAAAGCAATGTTTGATAATACTTATTCAGAGAAACAATAGCTGATAACGCCCCTCCACCCCGGGACTATTGATGGATTGTGTGAATGACATTTACTGAAATCATCATATCCTCAAGATACTTAGTTAATGTAATATAAATAGGGAATCTACACAAAATGTGTCTCTCAACACTAGAAATTTAGGCTAGCACAAAAGCAAGGACATTTATCAGTAATCCACACTGAGACTGGATTCCCTTGTTGAACTCACCCATCTCGATCAGTGCAAATACATAACATTTGTGTTAGCAACATTCTCATTTGCTTTTCTAGCATCAGAAGATGAGTGCAAAATTGGGTAAAGGGAACTTGCATCTTGCATATGGCAATTTCAAAGTTTCTCGTGAATTCTTCCTTGTTTCATAATGTCTTGGCCAGTATCTTCTGATTCTGTCTGCACACAGTATGCACATAATTAATAACTCCTTTCAGGATTTTTATTCTTTTGCTAGCTCAACTCTACTGATCTTCTGAACTGACTTCATATTTCCAGCAGGATTGATTGCAGTAAAGAAAAGATCTAAAACCCCATGCTACTAGCTGACATACTTTGGAAAACTCTTAAGAGGCCCTCGTTTCCAGCTTTGCTATAAATTACCAATACTTTCTTTTGGCAAAAAGAAATCTGTTTTAATTTTCTCAATTTTTTTCTTTTCAATTATTCTTCAAATAAGTACAAAAGGCAGCTACAGAAATTATTTAAAAGTAAAAACTCTGAATGAAAGTTTATATGGAAATGTACAGTACTAAAAGAAAAAAAAAGAACTTTGAAACAGCAAAAGAACCCATGTACTGAAATTGGATGGATGCTTAAGATGAAGCAACTCAAGTCTTATATAAGTTTACATCATCTTTCATTTGCCTGCTTCTGTGACTGTTGGGAATGTCTGCTTTATTGTGATGAGAGCGCCTCATATCCTTGAAATCCTCCTCTAACCCAGATGAGGTAATCCTCTTGTAAGCAGTCTTAGTTTTTGTGCCAATATTTCCTTGAAGTTCCGCTTCCCTTTTTCAAATGGATACCACCAAGATTGTTCTTTCTTTCTCCTAAACGTCAACTCATTTTTAGTGTAGAAACTGTCTGCATCTCAAGAGAACCACTATGGCTATGGTCAAGTACACATCCGCACCCTGCTGAGCAGCCAGCGCTCGATGATTGGTATGGTGGTGGAGTGAAATAGATAGTATTGTATAGATGTGCGCAACGATTGTCTTAAGGCAGGACAGCTCACAGTGCTGATTCTGAAATGATTGCATGAAAATAGTCACCTTACTCATCGTAAATACCCATATTCCAGAATAACCACCTAAGTCCTCTTTCGTGGTATCTCTTAAAAAGCACAACGCATCAACCAGAAATTGATATTTTAATGAAGTTTGAGTAAAAATAATGAGAAGAGGATTCACATTATACTATAAACAGCATATTTTTCCATAATAAAAGAAAACATTTCTTTTAAATTATGTCTCTTCTTCGCACTCCCTAGTTCTTTCTTTGTATAAACCTCCTCTTAACTCTGCATTTTTATTTCTCACATTGCCTCCAGTCTCCTTCTGTTATGATACTGGGACAGCTTCTTGGTCCTCTCTATGCCGTGTGGTGACGTCACATACTCCCATCAGCAAGAGACATATGAAGCCAACAATAAAACCTAACAAACCGAGCATAAAACATGACAAAACCAAGCCTTCCTTCAGGGGAAAATCCTACTTGTAGTAATATTTTAAACCAACTGTTTAATTTATTTATTTGCATTTTCTGTAGCCTAAACTGAAAACTCAAGCTTTCCATGGTATCTTATATCATGAATGGCCTCCACTTAAATATGTTCTTTTCCTCCACATTCACTCTACCACCAGCATGAAGACATTTTATAAAATACAGGCAGAAAATCATTGCCCTAATGTTTAACTAATTAGAGGGTAAGCTTAAGTCTGAGGCTACAGGTATGAACTGCTTGGAATCTTTTTTTTTTTTAATTGTATGGTTAGAACTGTGTCTCATGCAAAGTATATAAACAGTGCTTCTAGATCCCAGATATCTTAAGCTGGGACTAGTTAATTTTATCAACCAGTTTGATGAATACCTCCTTAAATTAAAATGATCATACCAGTAATCTCACTATTGACCATTTATCCAAAGGAAAATTAATCAGTACATCGAAGAGAAATCTGTACCCCAATGTTTATTGCAGCACTATTCGTGATTGTCATGGTATGGAATCAACCTAAATGTCTATCAGTGGATGACTGAATAAAGAAAATATGACACATATACACATGAAATACTATTCAGACATAAAAAATGAAGTTCTGTCATTTGCAGCAACATGGATGGAACTGGAGGAAATTATGTTAAGTGAAATAAGAACCAAAAGTTAAACACTGCATGGTCTTACTCATATGCAGAAGCTAAAATAAGTTGATCTCATAGAAGTAAAATGCAAAACAGGTTACTACAGGCTGGAAAGGTTAGAGGGAAAGGAAGGATGTGGAGATATTTGTTTTTTTTATGTGTTTGTTGTTGTTTGAGACGGAGTCTTGCTCTGTCGCCCAGGCTGGAGTGCAGTGGCGCTATCTCGGCTCACTGCAAGCTCCGCCTCCCGGGTTCACGCCATTCTCCTGCCTCAGCCTCTCCGAGTAGCTGGGACTACAGGCGCCCGCCACCACGCCCAGCTAATTTTTTGTATTTTTAGTAGAGACGGGGTTTCCTCGTGGTCTCGATCTCCTGACCTCGTGATCCGCCCGCCTCGGCCTCCCAGAGTACTGGGATTACAAGCGTGAGCCACCGCGCCCGGCCGAGATATTTGTTAAGGAACACAAAATTACAGCTAGATAGAATGATCAAGTTCTAATATTTTATAGCACTGTAGAATGACAATGGTTAACAATAATATCTATTTTTAAATAGCTAGAAGATACTAAATGTTTTCAACACAAATAAATGATAAATATTGGAGATAATGGATATGCTAATTACCCTGATCTGATTACTATACGTTGTGTGTATCTAAACATCACTATGTACTCCATAAACATGTATAACTATTATGTGTCAATAAAACAATAAACTAAAAAACTATCAGTTGATCAAGCAATTTCATTGTATAGAGTTCCTATTAACTGAAATTGCAGTGAAAACATCAGTCATTAATCTCGTTAGGATAAAGATATAATAACAATAGTAAATAAAATTATGTCCAGGATTATTCTTCAACTTAAGATTTTCCCACAGGTATTTATTACCACATTTTTGAGGCATTCTCTCCTTTGGGTTTCCAATAGTAAATAATCTATTTTTTAGTAGACTCTAACAGCATCTGTGTACTTCCCTCATAATTCTTTTATAATATGTCCTGCATAAGTGCAATCAAGTTTAATAATACATTGATATAAAACAGTCTAATTGTCTTAAAGGACAAATTACAAAGGTGACGCTTGTGTGGAATTACAAAGGTGATGCTTATGTTCAAGTAAACCTCAAAGTAAAAAAGCACTTTTTTTTCTTCTTTATTAAATAGATTATCTTCAAGGCAGGAGGACATTTAATAAAAAATAAAACTAATATGAAAAAAAGGAGTAAATGTCAGGTACTGAAAGTAGTAAGCCCCTAATAATGACTTACCTAAGATTTCAGGAGACGTGGTTTCTAATATTTATCCACTCATTAAACATTGTGCTAAGTTTTGACATTTAGGTTTTACCTACTACTGGAATTTAAATGAAAATAATGGTCCCTAAGGCTTAGTAGGTAATACTGCCTGGGATAACTAACCACTGGTGAATTTAAGTATACAGAGTTTGTTAAAACATAAGTTTTATTTAATATTAATTTATATGCATGTATAACAATACGCCTGTGTTTGGATGTGTATGTGATTGTATGTATGTGTGCTTGTGTGTGTGTCTATTCTTTTTTAAATGTATATTTTAAATTTGTGACACTTATTTATGTTTTAGTTTCAAGATATAGTAGATACATAGTATCTCATTCACTCTATACTTGAATCTGTCAGTGTGTAGTAACTGCTGATTGTTTTACTGCCCTTAATGAGTATTACAGTAAATTATTTATAAGACTATGAAGTGGCTGGGCGCAGTGGCTCAAGCCTGTAATCGCAGCACTTTGGGAGGCCGAGGCAGACAGATCACGAGGTCAGGAGATCGAGACCATCCTGGCTAACACGGTGAAACCCCGTCTCTACTAAAAATACAAAAAATTAGCTGGGTGTGGTGGCAGGCGCCTGTGGTCCTAGCTACTCGGGAGGTTGAGGCAGGAGAGTGGTGTGAACCCAGGAGGCGGAGCTTGCAGTGAGCCGAGACCGCGCCACTGCACTCCAGCCTGGGAGACAGAGCGAGACTCCGTCTCAAAAAAAAAAAAAAAAAAAAAAAAAAAAAAAAAAAAAAAGCCTATGAAGTATGCCAGTTCATCTAGACTTGACTTTTATGAAGTGTTAAGCAGCAAATGTTAAGTAACAGATTGTCAGAGATAAGAATTGGGCCTTACACAGTTTTGAAGCTGACTTCATAAGAAATCAGTTCATTTTTATTGTATGATGCTCCTAGATTTTTTTTCTTTAGGTTATTTTTGCAGCATTGAATGATATTTTCTTGGTATTTTAGAAAGTGAGAAAAATAAAAACAGCTAGAAAAAAATCAATAAGAACTCTTTTAAAATAGTGTTTCTAGTCAGGGGTGAAAAGGGCAGGTTATTGACCTATTGGTAATGGTTTAACATATTCATGGAAGAATCCAAAAGTGCTAGAATCAACATGTCTCAGTGTGACAAGATGACAATCATCTCTGTTACCTCCAAAGTACTCATAGTTAAAAGATTTAGTGAGATCTCTCCTTCTCCATGTGATATCAAAAGTAATTTCATGTTGAGAATGCATCTGCAGGTGTTGGTGATTAATTATAGAATCTAATGATGTACCATCAGCCAAATCTCAATGACATCAATGCTAGCTGTACCTGATTTGTGAAGGTAGAGAATTTAAATCTTTCATTTATAATTTTTAGACAATCCCACATGAACTGATAAGCATAGTTTTAATTTATTAAAAATGACGTATTAGGAGAATTAAGCATTTGTATTCATTTGTATTTTATGACTCATTTAGATCTAGTTTCTCCCTCTAAGAAAAAAAAAAGTCTTCAGCTTTTAAGTTCGGGGTACATGTGCAGCATATGCAGGTTTGTTACATAGGTAAATGTGTGCCATGGTGGTTTGCTGCAGAGATGCATACCATCACCTAGGTATTAAGCCTAGCATCCATTAGCTATTCTTCCTGATGTTCTCCCTGCCCCCCACCCCTTGGACAGGCCCCAGTATGTGTTGTTCCCCATGTGTCCGTGTGTTCTCATAATTCAGCTCCCACTTTAAATGCTTGCTTTTCTGTTCCTATGATAGTTTGCTGAGGATAATGGCTTCCAGCTCCATCCACGTCCCTTCAAAGGTCATGATCTCATTCCTTTTTATGCTGCATAGTATTCTATGGTATTTATGTACCACATTTTCCTTCTCCAGTCTATCATTGATAGTCATTTATGTTGATTCAATGTCTTTGCTATTGTGAATATGGCTGCAATTAACATATGCATGCATGTGTCTTTATAGTAGAATGATTTATATTCCTTTGGGTATATACCCAGTAACAAGATTTCTGAGTCAAATGGTATTTCTGCCTCTAGGTCTCTGAGGAATCGCCACCCTGTCTTCCACAATGGTTGAAATAATTTACACTCCCACCAACAGTGTAAAAGCTTTCCCTTTCCTCCACAACCTCACCAGCATCTGTTGTTTCTTTGAACGTTAATAAGAGCCATTCCGACTGGAATGAGATGTTATCTCATTGTGGTTTTGATTTGCATTTATCTAATGATCAGTGATGTTGAGCTTTTTTTCATATGTTTGTTGGACGCATGTATGTCTTCTTTTGAGTGGAGCTTCTGCACAACAAAAAGATAAGACAAAATTTTAAGGTGATTTTTCCAAGCCATAATTGTATTATACATTCTGAATGCAGTTATAATACAAGGAATGTCTTAAATTATTTATTTTACAAAGACTTTACTTTTACATATTGAAAAATATGTTTGAACATGAACATTACAAGTAGGAAAATATGCCTGAGAACGTGCATTTAATGGCTCTTCCTAAATTAACTTGCTTAAGTTTTGGAATGTAGCCGAAGAGCCAATAAAATACAAGTAACTATTTAAATGTATGTAATATTATATAGCTATAAAAATATGTATGTTTCATTTATTTGAAATTTGTAAATTTCCATTTCTTTTATATATTCCTCAACAGCTTATAAAACAGACAAGAGGAAAAATTATTATCTGAGTGGACTCATGGGTGGCTTTTCTGGTAGATGTTTTCCATATAACAGCTGACATTCATAGCATGTTTTGCATTGCACTTAATTCCACCGAATACTTATAAAGAATTACAATCCTTTCTATTTTGCAATGTGGTACAATAAGGTAGATTTTTAAGCCTGAGTTTGCCTGAATTTACATATACAGATACTTTCACTTATTAATTTATATTCAGATAGTGATACTGATCATTCTTCATGTGTAAGCAAATAAAAGATGTCTTTTGAAAATTTTAAGACGGAAGTGTGAATATAAATCAAACCTCAACCTGTCCTCTGTCTGCTGAGTTTAAATATTAGTATAAGGAATATTTATAATTATGTGTAATTTGTACTTATTAAAATAAATGTCTGTTTGCTTGGTGTTTTTTTTGGATTGGCAATTTTGTTAAACTCTAATCCCTTTGGAGTTTGAGGAATTACTACTAGCATGCAAAATTTTTCATGACGTCTGAACCAATTCAAGCCTAATGATAAAATGTACTTATAAATAAAGCTGTATATTTTCATCACTCAATTCTGACTGGCTTGAACTATTAGATTTTAGAGTGATTTGTCTTATGATAATAACCTTGAAATGATGGTTTGGGAAAATAACATATGATCAAATGTCTAACCAAAAGATATTCAGTTACATCCTGATACAGAAAATAAGAAGACATAAGTATGTTTTTCTTTAAATTGATCACTTTGACAACATGATTTCTATAAAGTCTCCAACACATTTGACAAGGCTAGGCCTATCTAAAATAGTTTATTTTCCTCCTTTCTCTTTGCCAACATCTCTCAAAGCACAAACAGATAGAAATTTAACTTCAAATAGAGTTAACAAATATTGGGGGTATTAAAGCAGTATTTTGGCAGAAATAGACCATGAAGGTTAAATTATTCTCAGGCAGATGAATTCAAAGTACCTATCTGGTTCATGATGAGTGTGTCAATAGTGTGGTAGGCTACCAAGACAGATAAGAAAGGGGTAAGCGTGGCATTTCAGAATATCAAGAACAGATGTAATTTGAAAAAGTTCCCAAGTAGGTAAAAATATGGGCACATTGATATCATCTAATACTTTTGCAAAAGCCAACTGGCTATTCTAAAAGCAAAATCTAAAAATTATCATTAAAATCTTGCAGGAGGACACATATGCAAAGTAAATTTTGAACAATCAAAACTCAGGAAGGACAAAATAAGGGCAGCTCTGGGGGTCTAGTGAAGGGGAACTCATGAGCATATATTTGGGTAATTTCGTTGAGATTAAGTAACTTCATTTAATTTCCCTCCTTGTAAGTTTCTACAGCATAATCCAATTGGTTAATTGTTTCCTAAGTCAAGCACAAGGCCAGGGGAGAGTGAGAAAATAACTTGACTGACAGAAGTACCAAGACTTTGTATACTAGGGGAGACTTCAAAAATTGGAGTACTCTTAGTAAAAGGATGGGAAATGTATGCTAGGCAGGTACATATCCTAAATGTCCACCTCACAGCCTGCATTTCAGGTATCGTTGAACTAAAATGAACACTTTAACATAGTTGGATGTACTTTCTGAAAAGGATGGCTCTGTTAGTGTCAGCCTTCAGATTTTACTCTGGAGTTTAATATCATTCATGAGAAGGTAACTGGGAGGAAAACTTCAATGTTTAGGAATGAGTAGTAATGAGATTAAATTTTTGTTATTCTAACAAAATGAGCTCTGAATCTAATCTGATCATTTGTAAACTTACTTGCAAAATCAAAATGAATAATAGAGTGAAAGATGAATGTAATATGTCATGGTATCAAGGTCATAATTTGAAACCATTAACAGAATCAGTTAACTCATTAAAAGGGGATTCTCTGATGTAGATGCAGAAACATATGCCCTAGTCAAATTTTCTATGCCTTAGAGCAGCTCTTTCTGATAGAACTTTCTTCAGTAATGGAAATGTTTCTGTATCTGCATTGTTTGATGTTGTTGCTGGTAGCTCATGTTGCTATTAAGCCGTTAAAATGCGTTCAGGATGACTGAAGAAGTAAATTTTTAATTTTATTCAATTTGAACTAATTTAATGTAAATAGATACATATGTGTTTAGACTACAATACTGGACAACAGAGTATTAGTTTTTACTTTCAGTTAAGGAGGGAACCAAAAATTGAGAACTACAGACAAAAAGGTATTTGCTAAAGAATTAGAGAAACGTATCACCAGAAGAAAAGAAGGATTGTCTATCAGTGCTCTGAGTTGCAAAGAACAGATTTCACCCTAACTGGCTTATGCAGGAAGAAATACTGTTGAGGGATACAGACACCAGAGCTGGACTGCTGACCCTCAGGCACTGGATTCTAGAAACTTTGTCACAACTACTTCCCAAAGATGGATGCTCTGATGCCACCTTTAGCAGAATGGATTCTGTACACAGTCTGCTTTCTCATGGCATTTTGTGATGATGTTTCCTGTAAATATATCACATTTTGGGATCCCAGGTTGCATGCTAGCATCCCACCCATAAGAAAATATGGTCTATCTTGGTGACGCACACACTAATTTGGTGAGTTTGCAAAGGATGCTGGTTTCTTTAAAGTCACTAATTTTTGAAAAAAAAAAAAATCTCAGGATGTTCCTGAGAAACATCCCTGCAAGTGTTTTAAGCATCCTTTCACTTAACAAATTTAATTATGTATGCTTGATAAAATAGAAAAAGAGTGGGAGATTTAAAAAAAAAAAAAAAGGCATTGCGTACTCTGCTGTCAAGCATGCCTGCCATTCTATTCAATAAGCTTACACCCTGGAGTGAGCAGTGACACCAGGTCGCTGTTAACTTTATCTATGGCTGTGTCTTTGTAGTTCTCAACATGAAGTGTCTTGCAACTTTGATTATTATTAGTGTTTAACAACAGATTTTTAAAATTCCTGTTGGCTCCTATACAGAAGTTAACAACTCACTGAAATCTGATATATTATATACAAAAATTTCATCTGTTTTAAATCATTTGAATGATTGAGAGAAATGTTGGGTGCATCATTTCTGCAGGCTCAGATAATCAAAACAAACTGAGGAATTAAAATGAACGAGCATTTCCAAACCAAGTCCAAAAGTTTTACACTTCTTTCCCAGACAGAGTCCTGTCCTGGCACAGAACACTATTTAGGTTTCAAACTAAAACTATAGTCTGTGCAGGAAACTAAAGA
The DNA here is from genome assembly GCF_000001405.40 of Homo sapiens. Classification (NCBI taxonomy): domain Eukaryota; kingdom Metazoa; phylum Chordata; class Mammalia; order Primates; family Hominidae; genus Homo; species Homo sapiens. The sequence continues at coordinate 54,768,860 of NC_000010.11, read as the reverse complement.
CAGCTCAGGACTGTGCTAATGCAGATCACTTTACAAGTGGCATGACATGGGTTTGGAAAACTAACAAGGACAATGTCAAGGAAGGTGGGATACACCATGTAAGGCACTTGGGTTTCATGCTATATGTGATAATAAAGCATAGAGGGATTTGAAGGAATATTTTACCCCATTCAGAACCTAAAACTGAAGCAAAAGGAGAATTTGCTGTAAGAGTCAGATTCCAATTATTTGGGATATGGGGTGTCCTTCACTTCTTCATTCATATTTTCCAATTTTTCAAAATGGTCCTTAAGTCTCGCTTACTTCTTAAGTATTTCATAATGCTGCTTAGTTTCTCTGAAATCCTGAGAATATGAACTACATAGAATATGATCCCAGCCTTGAACTATGTTCCTAAATATGTTTTGATTTGTTTCAATGTTAGCAAGTTTACTTTCTCAAGTAGATTGTAATCTCTCTGAGGGTGACATCATTTTGTAGGTAAATCAACGGACAACAGAGCTCAGTGGGGCCTCAGAACTCTTGTAGTCCTGTTCATTCATTTCATAGCAAACCAGGGAAAAGAGGCTTAAATGACTTATCTAAGTGTGCCCAAGCAGCTTATTGCAAAGCAAGAAGACTTCTTGTCAAATCCTCTGGACTGTGTAATTTGCATTCTCTCTATGCTCTCATGCTGTTATGCCCTTCAGACCTGCATATAATCACATTCATATTTAGACTCTTTGGTTAAGTTATTTTTATTAATAGACATTTTAATAGAAAAAAATTAGATTTACAGAAAAATAGAGGAGATTGTACAGAAAATCCCCGTATGACCCCAGCATACAGGTTCACCTATTAGTAACATTTTTCCATTAGCATGGTATATTTGGTAAAATTAGATAATAAATATTGATGCGTTATTATTAACTGAAATTCATAGTTTATTCATATTTCCTAAGTTTTTATGTAATGTCTTCTATCTATACCAAGGTGGCACCAGGACACTATGTTACATTTAGTTGTCCTAACTCTTTGGGCTTCTCATGGCTATGACAATTTCTTGGACTTTGTTTTTGATGACCTTGACAGTATTGAGGCATGCTAGTCAGATATTGTAGAATACATACCATGTGTTGGGATTTGTTGGTGCTTTTCCTATTGATAAGACTAGTGCTTGGGGGAGGTATATTACAGAGGGAATTTGTTATTTTCCTCACATTGTATCAATGGTACATACTACCAATGTAATTTATGACTATTAAATTTGACCTTGATCTCCTGGATGAAATAGGACTTGTCGGATTTCTCAACTGTGATGTCACTGTTCTTCCCCCTTCCCATACTGTACTCTTAGGAAAGAAGTTTCTTACACCAGGGCACACTTAAGATGTAAGGATTTATGCTTTCCCTCCTTTAGTGTGGACTGTCTATGTAATTTAATTGGAATTCTTCTAAATGGGAGGCTTTTCCTCTACTCCCTCATTTATTAATTGATCTAAACACTTATTAGCATGGACTCATAGATTCTGTTTGATACTTTCATTTAATCATCATTCTTGATGACTAATAGGTTTAGTTTTAATAGGTTCAGTTTTAATTTCATCATTAAAATTAATGGAGGAGTTTTCTCCAGTCCTCTTGAATATTTAAAATAGCTTTTCAATACTCTCTGTTTGTATTCAGTATTTAAAAATATTTTTGAACTCGTAATAAATTTTGAGCCAAACAGTTACGTATTTTGCAAAAGCCTGAAAAGGTGTCTGCAGATTAGAGAACATGAAGATGTTGTCATGTATTCTGTTTAAGTAACAACCCTACTAAGTCTATAATGTTAAAATATAGCATTTATGGTTATAGACGTTAGTAAATATGATTGTGTATTCAGTGGGAAGATTATATTAAGAACACAAAAAGGTGTATAGTGGATAGATTTTTTTTTTTGTTTTTTTGAGATGGAGTCTCGCTCTGTCGCCCAGGCTGGAGTGCAGTGGTGCTATCTCGGCTCACTGCAAGCTCCACCTCCGGGGTTCACGTCATTCTCCTGCCTCAGCCTCTGGAGTAGCTGGGACTTACAGGCGCCTGCCACCGCGCCTGGCTAATTTTTTGTATTTTTAGTAGAGATGGGGTTTCACCGTGTTAGCCAGGATGGTCTCTATCTCCTGATCTTGTGATCCGCCCGCCTCAGCCTCCCAAAGTACTCAGATTACAGGCGTGAGCCACCACGCCTGGCCCTACAAACTACTTTTTTTAACTTCTGACCCAGTCTATTTGTAGTGTATAAAAAGTTGTATCACTATGTGATACATTTAGAGAAAGGAACTCCTTTTTTTTTTTCTTGTATCAATTGCATTCACCTGGGGAATATAAATTTATATTTAACTCTTATGCCTGACAAGATGCTGACATTAGTAATGATATATAAATTAACTAATAATAAGCTTTAAATGGTAATTAAGCGTTGATATAATTTAAAGCAGAAGCATCAAGTAAGAAATTCAATTTAGTATACGCTTAAACTCTTTAATGTAAAAGTGTAAAATTTTTTCACAAAATGCAATGATGTTAAAATGAAACTTTTTTCAACTTTATTTCACTAATTTATCTCTTTCTCTCATTGTTTTCATCATTTCTCCTCTGCTGTTGTTTTGTGCTACACTATTTCTCTTTCATAAGTTCTATTTTGAACAATTTTTCTGGCAATAGAAATTTAAACGTATTACTCATTTTATTGTCCTATTTTTATTGTTGCTGTATTTTTTTCTTATTCCAGATACATTGCATGATTAATTTTCTCAACTAGAAGATATACAATGTATATAGCTATATTTCACACAAAGACACTGCACATCTTATTACAGAGGAAAAGTGATGATTCTTGGTGTTACCATTTAGACAACAGATCATGGAGTATTTAGTGTAAAGTTATAAATCCTAACATTAAAGATCAGAATGTTATTGCCATGTGAAGCATGAAAAGTAATGTGAACATAACCTTCTCTTCTTGTCTATGAAATTGTGTTTCCAATGGCAAAGCTTTCTCAATATCATTACCCTCTGGAGGTTATGCCATGTCCTAAAGTAAAGAGTCTGTACTTTGAAGTCAGCATGGCTTTGGATGACTTTCTTAATAGATCTGAACTTCTAATTTCTCATCAATAAATGATTATCTTTCTCTGTGGTTTTAACAGTGATTATACAGGCTGTTATATATAAAGTACTTTGCATAAAGAATGGCACATTGTAGAAGGTCATTAGGTATTTTTCACTGTAATACAGGTAATACTTTTGATGTTTTAAAATGTGTTTACTCATTCACTAAATCTATTGAGTGCTTACTATGTCCAAACAAAATTCTGGGTACCAGGGTGAGAGTAGTTTAAAAAATAAAAGACAAAAGTTTTTGCTCTCCTGGAGCTAATATTCCAGTTTTTTCTTGACATCATTTTGAATTTTCCTTTCTATCCATTTGTGATTGCTCTCTCTGAACTTTTTTCATCTTTTAAGATATTTTGCACTAAACAGGTTTGAGAATTATAGCGCATGTAATTTATTCCATTTTCCCAATAAATGTCAGCATTTACGATTTTGATACATTCTATTTTTTGCTAAAAAGGTATTTAGCTCAACAGAGTAAAGTTAGTATGGATACAGGAATTACTTGCCATATAAGGTATAATGGCAACATAAAAATATTTATGCACGTGGCCTATGTGAAATTTTGTCTAAGAGAGTTGAAATTAGTATAGATTCTTAAAGCAGTGGAGAAAAACAGATTTCTATTTATTTTCTCCACAACTTGTGGGTAATTTCTTTTCAAGTATCAACCTCAAACAAATGTTGTATGTCATAGCTTTTTGCCTGTTGGATCTTTTTATAATTTGAGTTTATGCTTATTTTCTCATTCATAGTTAGGATACAGAAATATTTTTATAATATGCCTAAATAAAAAGATTTGCCTCTAAATTTTTTTTCTAATGAAAAATAAGCAAGACTTACAAAAATTCTTCCTCTTACCAGGCTCTTTGAGGGCAACAGTTGCTTCTTATCTCATTTATTTTGCCTTACGCATTGCCCTTTCTCACTTGAATTGCTTGCATGGAACTATTCATTGTCTTCACTTCCCTGACATATACTCAGAAGGCATCTTCATCTGGGACCATTTTGAATTGATCCTGCATGCTTACCTCTTACTCAGAGCATATTTTTTCCTTGGTCTATCGTATCAACACATGTTCTAACAGATGAGGTCATGAGGTTTACCCTATGCTACATGACCTTCTCAGCTTAATAGTTCTCTAATAGTCAACACTGAAATTGCCTGTAAACTGGGTTGTCACAAAGAGGTATTTTATGCAGCAATAAAAATTTGGTAATACATCATTTACTTAGTTTGGGGCATTCTTGGAATTAAAATCTTTATTTTTTATTTTCTTACTCCCAGCTATATTTTCTACCCTAAACACAATGAATCTGGCACACCTTTGCATAACAGTGGTTCATAGGAGTCACATTTCTCTAGGTTTTGTAATAGATTCTAAAGGGAAATAGATGAAAAAACATGCCAGTGAATTTAATATACTCACAGGCTCATGTATTCTCTTACTATTTACTGTGTTCTTGTACTTTGAATTAGCAAATCTCAAAATTTCTATATCTGATATGGCAAGCTCATTCAGTGAACCAATTTTTGATCAGTTTGTGCCTGGAATAAAGCTAGACAAGAGACATAACAAAGTTTATAAGACATTTAGAGACCACTGAAAAAAATATATATTTATTTTTCTTTGCCTTACTTTCTATTCTAGTTTGCTTTCATCATTACATGTTGAGCCCAGGACAAGAAAACCATGGTAAAAGATCTTTTTCTTCTTCGAGTCGATTAAAAAAATCCCTTTTTACTTTTAAAAATTAGATCTAATACGTTATATTTGCATGTTAATAGGCTATCATAAGTTTCCCTAGGAAATCTGCAGATTTCTCATGAAACTTAGAAAAAGGCTAAATATTCTGTACTAATCATTTTTTCTTGTTCTATTTGTTAATCTATTCATGTATTTACATTTAATGGATACATAAGAGTTGTACATATTTATATAGTATATTTATATACTATATATATATATATTTATATAGTACAACTCTTATGTATCCATAAAAAGTAAATGTGATATTTTGATACATGCATACCACACGTAAAAATCAATTCACCATATTTAGGTTGTCCATCACCACAAAGATTTATTATTTATTTGTTTTGGGAACATTTCAAATATTCTCTTTTAGCTATATTGACATATACAATGAATTAGTAACTAGTCACCTTAGAGTGTGCTATTGAACTCTAGAACTTATTTCTTCTACCTAACTGTATGTTTGGTCCCATTAACCAAATAAACTCCACACAGTTCCATGATTACTCTCCAGAGTTATTTTCTCCAGTTAGCAATATAAGTACATGCAGTTGAGAAAGGGTATTTTCAAGGTGGTATTACATTCTACCCTTATTGAAATTTGAAACTTCCTAACATCTGTATTCTTAGTGTCTCATGGAATCTGAGCTACAAATTGTGAAATGTGTTCTGGCTTTGCACACATATATGACATCTCACTGTTTTCCACCTGTTGTAGTGCACCAATATTGTAAAGGTTTGCTGGGAAAGCCCTGCGTTTCTTTTTCCCCGGTATTACCCTTTGTGTTTATCTCTACCAACCACCTGGCACTCTCCTGCTTTCACAAAAGAGCAGGGTGGGTTCATCCTCAAAATGAGCCTCCCTATTACCCAGAAGACAAATGAAATAGTGTCCTCTCACAGATGGTCTGTGATGTATACCTTAGCTGAATATCTAATCATGACAAGTAATCAGGGATTAACTGCAAGTTTCTAGAATGAATTTAAATTGTGACACAAACTTATGCTTTAAAAGCGAAAAAGAATAAAAAGATTATTTCAAGAAAACAAAAACATTGGCAACTATACTTTATATAAAATATGTGTTTCACAATTGTATTTCATTTTATTGCCACATGTATAAACAGTTCAAATGTATGAATGCAATTATGAAATATTTCTTTCATTATAAAACCATTGTTTTTATGATTGCACTTTAAAAAAGGCTAGCTAAAATGCTTAAGCATTTCATAAATGTTCAATTTAAAATAAACATTTTAATCCTTTAGAATGATGAAGTTACAATGCTTAAGAATTTCATAAGTGTTTACTCTAAAAGGAATGTTTTAACCATGTAAGATGGTTTAACAAAAAATATTTTGGGGTTTTGAAGTATTTTTTCAAACAAGACAAACATAAAGTTATAGCTAAAATCTCAATAGTATGGTGTTTGATTTGAGAGATTGAAGGTATTTGTTTCATTTGGTTTTACTGAATGATTCATCAGCTATGCCATAAAAGTTACAAATATCAACTCTTATGTTCATAAGAACACTTTATTTTCTTCATTGTCACTAGTTATTATTTGAGATATTGCAATCTACTTTTTCTTCAAAAGACTGTGTTTTCCTAAACATATTCAACCCAGCCTAGACCAAATTCTTGCATTTTTTTAAGTACGACATGTTCTGCTAATATCTCCAGCAAATTTTTTCTTGAAGTATTTATATGTAAATACTTTTATAACATGAATTTCACCCTAATTAGCATTTCTTATAAGACAAGAAAAATAAGCTATGACAATTTTAATCTGTAATATTCTTGCTATATGGTTATGATTAATATGCTCTGACATTATGCTATAGCTCATACATAGGTAAAATGTGATTCAAGGTTAAATTAGTTGGAGAGTATATCTGAGTTCTCACTTTATGGTAAGGAGAATGGTCCTCTAACCATGTCCAGTGCCTGCTGTCAGTGGTATGGACTCTATGTTTAGACTAATGTTAGGAGATACATATACATATATATATGTTGTTATCACTTGTTGTCATTCTATTTCCTTAACTTTTACTAATATCTATTCCCCAGAATACTCCAATTACTTATGAATAATATTTCAGTTATGTATTAAAAGCTCCTCTGCAAAGCTTGCACTTTGATTATAGACACAGGTTGGTTTGACTGACCAGCATGCTTCCTTCATTAGTTTGATAAAATAATGATAGTTTTCCTTTGGAGAATTACCCCTTAACTGTTTTGTTTTGTTTTGTTTTGTTTTGTTTTGTTTTGTTTTGTTTTGTTTTTGAGACAGAGTCTCGCTATGTTGCCCAGGCTGGAGTGCAGTGGCATGATCTCGGCTCACTGCAACCTCCACCTCCCAGGTTCAAGCGATTTTCCTGTCTCAGCCTCCCGAGTAGCTTGGATTACAAATGTGTATCACCACGCCAGGCTAATTTTTGTATTTTGGGTAGAGACAGGGTTTCCCCCATGTTGGCCAGGCGGGTCTCAAACTCCTGACCTCAAGTGATCCACCTGTCTTGGCCCCCGCAAGTTCTGGAATTACAGGCATGAACCACTGCGCCCAGCTACTTACCTGTTCTTAATCCATTGGTTTCAAAACCTGATAGCCTAGCTTCAGAGTTGAGCATATTACCTAGGTCATTCGGTTTCTTGGCAACTGTGACTAATTAGTAGGTCATAAACATGACCCAAACTACACAAAATTAGTATCAGTTTTAAAATTTGGACTGGAAGTGCCTGAAATAAATTATTTTTGGGGGGGCAAGATTCAGGCAGAAAGGCAAGGAGTGTAGAATTTTAGAGCTTGTTGTGATCATATTTACCAACATTATTAAGAAACCCAGCCTGAAAAGTAAGCCATCGTAGAGGAAGCCAGACAAAGAGGCAGGCAAGTCCCTAATAATGCTGTTTGAGGCTCAGAATCTAGTTGGTCTTTCTTTGAACTACCAGTGACTTAAACTACCAGTTATATTGATTCGAGCCAATATAGTTGAACTATATTGTATTGTATAGTATTGTACAGTATTTCATGAATTAGTTTGGCATTGAATTTCTGCACAGAAGAGTAGCATGTTTATTATTCTATCTTAACATGCATAAATTTGAACTCAGATACTTCAGTTTACCCATACTCCTCAGCCATTTCCATTATGTCTGGGAAAGATAACTGTTAACAAAGAGATAATATATACATGAAAATGATGCTCATCAATTTACCTAACTTTGCATTTTTTCTGCCAGCTAAAATCAACATTTAATTCTAAACATCTCAAATTGTTTGTGATGTTCACAGTCCTGATAAATAAACACAAAGGATGGATCATTGAACTCAGTAACTTCAAAAACAGAAAATGATCAAGAGTGCCAACATCATCAAACACTGCTGTTAAAAACACAGTCTGGGGCAGCAGTTCGTGAATTGCATGGATACTTCCACATTTGCACTCAGATTTGAGTTAATTTGAATAAGATATTTAGTATCCACTTCTGTTGTTCTCATTATCCAAAGTGTTAACACATTAGATGAGGCACAGGGTGGTGTGTGTGGGAGGAGATGTTCCTCACATCAGTGAGGCAATTGATAAAAAAAATATATATGTTGTGTTATCCAGATGTTCATCCCATCTGTTTTAAAACAGTTATTCAAAGAGCTAATGGTGAATAGAACTTCAAAGAACTAGTGAGGTAAATTAAAAAGGAAATGTGGTCAGTTATCTGCTTTGGTAATTTGTAAAGTATATTCTGGGAAAACAGTTGGAGGTATTGTTCCCTTGATACATTGCATATTAGTTTTTACCACTTTATGATTAAGGTTGTCAACATTTTATAAGCAAGTACTCATTAAAATTCCTGAAAGTCTGTATAGAAAAACTTCAATGAATGGTTTTGAGCATTTTCTTAGTAAATGTAAGTTATGCCCTATGAGCCAAGTATCTGTTTATATCGCTATCTGCTGAGATCAGTATGAACTGACTACTCTTACTCGCCCTATACATGGGATAAGGTCATGAAATAAAGGGTGCAGGAAACAGGAGAAGGCACTAATTCACTCCTGTAACCCAAGACTGTTTTTGCTCAGGGCATAGTAGTGAAAGAATCATTCTGGGTTGCAGCTGTACAGAGGCACCCATTACCTCAAAAAGTTCAGCCCCCAAACGTCAGTGTAGGATAGGTGATAAAACCTAAGTGTGAATCTATTCCCTAAAGAAAACGTAAAGATTTCTCAAAAAGTTAGGGAAGATTTTATGTCCTGATAGTGTGCATTATTGATTGAAAATGTCTGTACATCTTAGAAAGGATTTTGTCAATTTACTTATTCATAACAATTTTAAAAATACGCTGCCGAAAGACAAATAATGCCCCAATTCTGCTCCCAGGCATGGCCTTGATATTTTCTAAATTAAGATGAATGAATCATATATGCCTAAGGAACTGAACTGCATACATGCAGGTTGTTTCTATATCAAGAGAGAGAAGACAGAAATATCAAAAGGAAGTATTGAAATGGAAATTTATTTAGGATTTATATATATTAGTACAGAACTTTATTAATATATCCTTTTTAGGAAACATTCATATTTAAATCTATTAAATTGTTCATTTTTATTTTGAAAATTGTTTTTTGCTTTATTCCTGAGGGTTCACAGCAAATTTAGGAAATGCTCACATTTTGCAACCTGAACAAAGGAAAATTTAGGTGTTTGCCCGGTAGTGTTCAAGTGGAATTGAACACTTCTAAAAATAATTTTCTTTAAATATCATGTCACATTCTTTATTATAAAGAAAATGATGATAGTACTTTTCAATTTCCTACTAGAAATCTAATTGATAATTTTAAGTGATTTTATTTCACCTGTATATAAGGATGCTGAGAAGTAGTAAGATGGAGGGGGAGGGAAGGCAGAGACAGGAAGTGAAGTATAAGAAGAATGACAGGCACTGAAAGACATGCCCAAGGTCACATGCCATAGAGATAAGAGGCGAGTCAGTAGGAGACCAGGAAATGAGAGGACAGAAGAAGCCAGACCTATAGGAGGCAAAGATAAAAGAAAATACAGGCATAAGTCAGAAAAATTGGAAAGATGAAATCATAAAGAGAAGTCCTATAACCCGGAAAGTCTTTGCTGATGATAAGCCTTAAAGAATATAGTCTAATATTTGTCATCATAAACACATAACACATGTTAATTCATTGAAAAGAGATAGTTCCAAACACAACCCAAAAGTTCAATTGGTTAGGTTTTTATTTGGGTTTCCTTTGTAAGGGTATCATCCAAGCTTTTCTACAACTAGAATTAATTCAAGTACTCTCATTGATCTGGTTTCATTGCCTTTATTTAAAGGAAAAAAGTAGCCACAAATGAAGTGTAAAATAAAACTTTACATTAATATGAAGAGATACTCAAAATTATATACATATTGTGTATATAGAGGCTGCTCGATTTATGATGGAGTTGTGGCCTGATAAACACATCATACATTTACAACACTGTAAGTCAAAAATGCCATTTTGTAAACATGATGGGATGTGAAAAGACAATATCCAAAAAGCGTCAGCAACACAATACACTGTAGAGTATCACTTATTTACACTCATGATCTTGTGGCTGGCTGGGGTCTGCAGCCTAGCATCATGAGAGAGTATTTTACCATACATTAATAGCCTGGAAAATATCACAATTCAAAATTTGATGAAACATTTCTACTGAATTAGTATGGCTTTCACATCACAATCAAATAAAAAATTATAAGTCGAACCATTTAAAGTTGGAAACCATCTGTATTTACATACTAAAACATTTTAATTTGAGGAACTATTAAAGTTAACAAACTACATGGTATCTAATTTGCATGTTAAAATATTTTAGGTAAATTTATACCAAAAGCATATTCATGTTTTTCTTTTTCGTGTATATTCTTATTAATATTCTACTTAGCCAGTATTTGTCAGTGGTCCTTTGATTACAAGGGAAAGAAAAGCAGCTCAAATAATATAAAGCAATGAAGGGTCTTACAGTGAGTTTTTCAGGCATGGCTGTATTCAGAGACCCAATAAGACCTCCTGAGGAATCTGTTTCTTTTGATGCCTTTTGCTTGCATCCCATGATGTTTGGCTTTAACTCTCAGTCAATATTTGTCCATGCAGCTATATATTAAGGCTGCTGACAACTCAACCTAAATTCATAATTGCAATTACTAAGGAAAGGAGCCCTTCTCTCTCTCTCTGTCTCTCTCTCGGCATAAATAAAACTTTAAGGAATAATCTAATTGGTCTTATTTAGGTCTCTTACTTGTCATTGTTGGTGGGCATAGCACTGTGACTACCATAAAGAAGGCAAATGAAGTAGTTTTCTAAAGGAAAGCCAATTTTTAAGAAGGTAGAATTGGCCGGGCGCGGTGGCTCACGCCTGTAATCCCAGCACTTTGGGAGGCCGAGACGGGCGGATCACGAGGTCAGGAGATCGAGACCATCCTGGCTGACACGGTGAAACCCCGTCTCTACTAAAAATACAAAAATTAGCCGGGCATGGTGGCGCGCGCCTGTAGTCCCAGCTACTCGGGAGGCTGAGGCAGGAGAATGGCGTGAACCCGGGAGGCGGAGCTTGCAGTGAGTCGAGATCGCGCCACTGCGCTCCAGCCTGGGCGACAGAGCGAAACTCCGTCTCAAAAAAAAAAAAAAAAAAAAAAAAGGTAGAATTCTGAGCAAGCCAAAAACAGGTGATATAGACAGAAATTTCTCATTTCTTAGCAGTTTGGCATACACATGTATGTTTCTAATAAGGACAGTTACAAATTGTCCCCAGCTAATAGAACACAACTATCTTAACTACAACTGAATATACCCCGGCTGGAAGCAGAACATTCATAAAGCAAATTTTTATATTTCTCCTTTATATCTCATGCTATCAAAAGACATTTACTATCATGTTTTTTGAGACATATGGTAATCCAATTGGGAGCTTGCTTCATAAAGCCAAGCATCCTCTGTCTTCAAATACAATAATAGGAAGTCCAAATACTAATCACGTTAAGACACAGCTCCCTCCTACTTAGGAATTTCATTTTTATTGACATAAATTGCACTGTGGATGTATCAAAGTGTAACTCAAAGACAGTTAAAGTGCCGAGAATTTATTTGCATATATGTAGAAAAATTGTGAAGTCTGTTGTCCTGTTCTAAGGCAAGGCAAAGCCAGAATTTATAAAGGAAGTATCCATAGTTTCTCTCTCTCTCTCTCTCTCTCTTTCACATACATACAGACAGACAGACAGAAAGACACATACACATACACACGCTCACATAAATGACTGGTTTGTTTAGCATATCCTAGTTTGTCAGGTGGGTTGCAGTGGAGTTCTGTACAAAGCCATTACAGTTTCACCAAGCCTACTAAATGTATTTTTCCAAGATCTGTGTGAGCCCATTCTACTCATTAGGGTACAGATTTTTAATAGAAACTATGTCTATGCATGGCTTATTCTATATTGATGGAAGAAAAGTCTAATTTGAGCAGAGAGCCAAACAAACATGGAGTCCTGCACTGTAGTCAAGATATTTCTCCGTATTTACATATTGAAAAAAATGACTGATGGGCTCTTATTACGTAATGGACACTATATAAAGGATAGGGACACGTCAGTAATAAGATAGCTTTTCTTTTTGCACTCATGGTATTTACTATTTTTTGTTTTTATTTTTTACTTTTTTATTTTTTTGAGACAGAGTCTGTCTCTGTCACCCAGGCTGGAGTGCAATGGCGTGATCTCGGCTCACTGCAAACTCTGCCTCCCGGGCTCAAACTATTCTCCTGCCTCAGCCTCCTGAGTAGCTGGGATTACAGGCACCTGCCACCATGCCCAGCTAATTTTGTGTGTGTGTGTGTGTGTGTGTGTGTGTGTGTGTGTGTGTTTTTAGTAGAGACGGGGGTTTCACCATATTGGTCAGGCTGGTCTTGAACTCCTGACCTCAGGTGATCCACCCGCTGCCAAAGTGCTGGGATTACAGGTATGAGCTACCGCGCCTTGTCTCATGGTGTTTACACGATAGAGAGAGAGAAAGTAACATCCAGTTAGCATCCATTGTGCTCTACGCACTGTAATAAGAACTTTGTATGCACTTATTATTATAAATATTATCCTTAATAACCCAATGAAAAAAGTGCTGCATTATTCTGATGAGCCAACAGATATTTTTAGTTCATTTTTATTAATCTTATACAGTAGATTATGTAACTAATTTAACTGATTTAAAATGAAAAATACACAGTTAGATCTTTATGTATGAGCATGATTAGATTAATTCATAATTCATATATATGTTTACTATTGTGTCATAAAGATCTCTAGTATCTTTATTTTATCATAAGAAGATGTATCTTTCTCTTCCCTGTTTATTCCATTCAAATTCTCTTCCTAAAACGTGTCTAGGATTATAAATAAATTTATTCTCCAATTAATATAATTTGCAGTAAGGTGTGACTAAGAAATATAATTCTAGAGCTGCACCCTTAAGCATTTTAAGAATAAGACATATTAGCTTAAGTAAATGTTTGCAGTATTTTAGTTGGAATAAACTTGATTTGGCTCAGTCTCTAGAAAAATTAATACAATACTAAGCTATATTTTTAAGAACAAATTATATTAATTATTTCCCGTACTATACTGGGTTCCTCCTAAGAAAATTAAACCAATATTAGCATTGCCTGCAAGCTGCTTTCTGCATAAAGGGAAACCTGGCTGGGTGCAGTGGCTGAAGGCTGTAATCCCAGCATTTTGGGAGGCCGAGGCAGGTGCATCACCTGAAGTCAGGAGTTCGAGACCAGCCTGGCCAACATGGCAAAACCCTGTCTCTACTGAAAATACAAAATAAGCCAGGTGTGATGGCAAGGGACTGGGAGGCTGAGGCAGGAGAATCGCTTGAACCTAAGAGACAGAGGTTGCAGTGAGCCAAGATCGTGCCATTGCACTTCAGCCTGGGTGACAGAGTGAGTCTGTCTCCCAAAAAAAAAAAAAAAAAAAAAAAAGAAAGAAAAACTCTAAGTGTGAAAAACATGGCAAATAAATTATCTTAATCTACTATCTACTTAGAATATTTAGAAGATAATAGCTTGAATCTGGAAAGAACACATATGCGACTTGTGTCATTTTTTCTGGCATGTTTATAATCAATTGTTTTGTGAGCAGCAGCACATTATAATTGGTTATGTCCATAAACGTTTTGTTTTTTAAATAATGCATTCTGAAAAAAGCTGAAATAATCATATGGGATATAGTCTTTGAATTGGAATCTAAGGTAATCTAATCTTCTAAATATAACTAAAATTTGAAAAAATAATGATAATAATTAAATGATGTACTTTATATCAGTGTCAATACTTATTCAAAATTTCTTTGTAGTGAAAATTTATTTCTGTATTACCAATCAAAAATTGATACAAAAATTTTCCTTAATTTAATAATTAGATGTGTGTCGGCATATTAATGGTGTATTTTCTTAATCTACCAAGGCTTAATAAGGACTTAATTTTGATTTTATATTTTAAATTATATTTGATATGTAGTGATATTAGATATTTTTTATGTAGCTTTCAATCATGGAACGAGTCTATCTTTATTTGCCAAAGAGAATTGACCAGGAATAGCACCAATTCATCCTTGGCTCAATGTTCGTTGATTGCAGTATCTGAATCCACAAGAATTTCACTCAAACTAGAGTTTTATAGTGTTAGCAATGTTATAATCTAAAGGAACTAATCTAAAGGAAATTTGAAAGCCAAATTATCCAAACCACTATGAAATTACTAAACCTGTCACTTTTCTTGGCAGTAAAGATTTGGGGAGCCGGGCGCGGTGGCTCACGCCTGTAATCCCAGCACTTTGGGAGGATGAGACGGGTGGATCACGAGGTCAGGAGATCGAGACCATCCTGGCTAACACGGTGAAACCCTGTCTCTACTAAAAATAAAAAATAATAATAATAAAAAAAAAAAATCAGCCGGCCGTGGTGGCGGCGCCACTGCACTCCAGCCTGGGCAACAGAGCGAGATTCAGTCTCAAAAAAAAAAAAAAAAACACAAACAAACAAAAAAACAACAACAAAAAAAAAACAATAGAAAAAGGATTTGGGTAATACTCTTCAGATTACATTCCAGATTTAGGGAAGTGAGCCAGTACACCCTGGTGCCGAGGTCACCTTTCTGTGCTCAGGAAGGTGCTACCAGGGGAAACCATTTAACCTCTTCTTGCTCTAGTGTATATAGAGCAATATAGAAGTGCTTTAGGATTTTCAGACCATTTTCACATATATTGTGGCATTTTATACTTACAACAATATAGTGGGAAGAAAAGTCAAATGTTTTTACACTGTGGTTAAAAAATGGAAGATAGAGATGAAATGACTTGGTAAGATCAAATAAGTTGATGGGGTGAGAATGTAATTTAAGTTTTTTTTTTTGTTTGTTTGTTTGTTTTTAATTCATGCCTCTGCCGGACCTGGTGGCTCACGCCTGTAATCCCAGCCCTTTAGAGGCCGAGGTGGACAGATAGCTTGAGGTCAGGAGTTCGAGACCAGCCTGGGCAGCATGGTGAAACCCCGTCTCTGCTAAAAATACAAAAAGTTAGCTGGGCATGGTGTATGCGCCTGTAATTCCAGCTGCTCAGGAGGCTGAGGCACCAGAATCACTTGAACCTGGGAGGCAGAGGTTTCGGTGAGCAGAGATCAGGCCACTGCCCCCCAGCCTGGGTGACAGAGACCCTGTCTCGAAAATAAAAAAAAAAATCACGTCTCTATTTTCTTATTCCATAGCACCCAACATCCTCTGGTGCTAGATGTATCTTTATAATATATACCATGGATGTGCAAACATTGATGGAATATTTATATGTGGGTAACTCCTTACTTATTTGTATCTTTAGTATGTGATAAATAGGCAGTCAGTATATGGTGCTGAATTCAAAACTACTCATTGGCATAGAATTATATTGTCAATATATATTTAGATCATGGAGTTTTAAAGATTCTTCTTTTGTGTCTGTTGGTAATTATTTTCGAACCTCATTTGTGACTTTATTTCTATAAGACTGTCTGAATTTTACCCTGTTTTAGATGGCCACACTATGCGTTACTCTTCCTGTGGCTCCATGTATGCCATTGATAACAAGGGGGGAAAGGTGGAAGAGTTTGAGTGCAAATCCTTCCTGACGGCTGATAAACCAGCAGGAAATAAGTGAGGTCCTGTCAGTTGGCTTTATATACTTTCATTGCTTTCAAATCCTAAAGATACACTCGGCATCATTTTTTTTAGAAACATGAGGGACATCAAAGAATGTAATAGAGTCACTGAGTTGAATATATTCATGCAGGGATTTATACACTTCATAAAAGCTGTAAAGAAGTTTTTTCTGACATATAGGAAAATTGTTTTATTGTTTTTTTTTGTTTGTTTGTTTGTTTGTTTTTTGTTTTTTGTTTTTTGTTTTTTTTTTTTTTTGAGACGGAGTCTCGTTCTGTCACCCAGGCTGGAGTGCAGTGGCGTGATCTCAGCTCACTGCAAGCTCTGCCTCCCGGGTTCACGCCATTCTCCTGCCTCAGCCTCCAGAGTAGCTGGGACTACAGGCGCCCGCCACCACGCCCGGCTAATTTTTTGTAATTTTTAGTAGAGACGGGGTTTCACCATGTTAGCCAGGATGGTCTCCATCTCCTGACTTCATGATCTGTCCGCCTCGGCCTCCCAAAGTGCTGGGATTACAGGCGTGAGCCACCGCGCCCGGCCTGTTTTATTCTTCATGGTGTTGAAAATGGTGTTAGCCTTAGACAAATTCTGCAACAATGTTTAGTGCTTATACATATTCCTGATAATACAGATGTAGCTTTCAGAACAAATTGAAAGTACTATAAATATCCTTTAATATCCATTTATCTGGAATAAAATATATTGAATAACATTTTCACAATAAAACAAGTCTTTTCCTAATATTTTATTAATTATAATAGATTGAGAAACATGACGGTAAGATTTATTTGTAGTAGGTAATGTTTTCTTAATAGCATTAAATGGCAGTATAATGTGATACCCTTTTTATAATATTGGGAAAGCCTTTTAGTCAAAAAGTTTTATAACATCACTTTTGTAAATTTGTTGCTAATCTGATGGGACTTGATAAAGATACTGTCTAATTCTCTTTTCTTCTTATGTATTACAGAGAATTAGTATCTTTCATCCTTTAGATTGGACAAAGAAACATAAACATTTGGAAAAAAATCTGTTTTCTTGATGTAACACAGAAAGCTCTAGAAATGGATTCAAAGAAGTGATTTTTGAGTCTGAACTTTGAAATTTTCTAGATAGTAAATTGGCTAGACATTTAATTCTATTTGTCCAATTTTTCTCTAACATAGATGATTGAACTAGACGGTTTTAAGGGTTTTTTCTGGGTGCAATATATTGTGTTGCAAATTTCTGAGCTCTTTGTGCTAGATTACTCTTGAGTATTTGAAAATATCAAGATATTATTGCCAGTTATGTATTTAGCAGGTGCCATCTGTTTGTGCATATTTTATAAGCAAATTTAAAAGCACACCTGTTTGAGCAACAGCAAGATAAACTGGAACAATCATTGACTTAGAATTACACAAACCTAATTATGAGTCCTGGCCCTCCTACCAAGTGGTGAAATACGTCAGTCAAAATTTTAACCATCTTGAGTCTCAGTTTTAATTCTTCAACATAGTAGAGATAAATCTTATCTGGCAAAGTTGGGAAGAATAAATAAGTTCTAAAAATATTAGAATCCTTCTAAATGATACTTTGAAAACTATGCAGCACAAATATAAAATATTGTAATATAGTATTAATACTAACAGTTTTATAAAGTACTTAATTTACTACTTTATAGAGACCATATGCTCGCTAAATGTTATAAACTCTTCTGGTATTTCTTTTAAATGTGCTTTTAACACGTATCTGTTTATTAGAAAGCCATAAATTGTTTATTACTGTTGCCAGTGCATGTAAAGCTGGTACTTCTTGGCAACTACAAACTAGATATAACCACTATTAATAAAGTTCATATACTAAGCTTTTATTGCTGCTTAATTATATTTGTGTTTGGAAGAACATTTTGAATTTTATATATTGGTAAATTTGCTGCTTGCAATTGTTAAGCAATCTTTTGTTTGTAAACTGACAAAAATTTAAAAATAATTTACTGTGAAACAAATATAAACTTGTAACATTATTTTAGAAAACAATTTTTCTTTGGTATTTGCATTTTATTTTGAATACAATGTATATGCAATTTGCATTAAGCATAAAGATAAATTCATTATTTAAATAAACTTAGTTGATAATTCATAATAAAATGTTTGAATTGCCTCCAACTTATTGTCTTCAAAGAAAATAAAGTGAAACATTTTTAACTAACTTTCAACTTGAAAATAGATTGTATAGTACAGTGAAGTTAAATTCTTTATGATTTGATTCATCACAGTAGTAATCGATTCTTTACAATTTCACTACCAAAACTTTGCCCTAACTTACCTGTATTCACCAAAAAGGTGTTTCCTTTGGTTAGTTGACTAGAGTTTTTAAAGAGGAATGACTATAGCTGTGGGAGTTAATTATTTACTGTTTAACTCTTTTTCTTTTATCCTGTGGATAAACTAACAATTTTAATTATTTACTGTTTAACTCTTTTTCTTTTATCCTGTGGATAAACAATGTCACATAAACAATATAAGCCATCTCTACGGTTTTATAAATGTAAAATAAATTGTTTGAGAATAATAAATTGATTTCTCCAACTGCATTTTTAACTTGCTGTTAAATAAAGGAAACTGGAAGAAAGAGAGGAGAGAAAGAGAGAAAGAGAGACAGAGCAAGGGCGCTTCATGTACCTAGGTAGTAGGAAACTTGACAATGAAGTAATAATATTATTTATTGCTAATGAGAGTAGTAAGACCCCTCCTTGTCTACACATAAATTTCTTTTAAAGTATGAGAAAACTGAGATCAGGGAAGTTAAAAAAAAGTTTTAATTCATAAATATAGGTAGTGGCAAAAATAGAATTCTAATCTACATCTGATACTCCAGAGTCTATGCTCTTAACTTTACAGAGCAGGCTGAGTAGTCAACAATTGCTCAAGAAAACAAAAGCAAAACCAAGCAAGCAAGCAAGCACGTAGGGTTTTAAACTTCAAACTCTGCTACCACATATTTAACTTTGTCAATTGCATTTGCCTTTGTATCACTGTTAAAGGTAAAATCAAATCCAATAATAAGCCAAAGTACTCAGCTGGAAAATGTAACTGGAGTATTTCTTTTTTCAATTCCATATTGAGGAGAAAACTATATTACTCTGCCTAATTTTAGTTCATATCTAAAAAGTATGTATGGAACAAATTTGAAGAGATTCTAAAAAAGTATAGCCATTCGAATGAGTAAATGGAACTCTGGGTTTCACAAAAGGAACTGGGATGCTGTAATATTACAGAATTTCAGATATAAATTATCTTCTTGTGGCTTCTACTAAACCAAAGAATTGCTAGAATTTTGGATTCTTTGAATATGCTCCCTAGTGTTAATGGGGTAAACTTTTATCATCATTCAGGATCCAGGAAACAGTTTATTTAATACTAACTACTTTGTAATATATATTTCTTCTTAGTTCTAAAAATCTTTGTTTTTACAAATCGTCATCATGTTTAAATATATGTTCACATTGCAGTGAAAGCATTACATTTTTTAATGGCTTAAATAAATTGTTATTTGATTAGTTACTGACGCTGATTTGGTGATGGTGGAAACACTTTGGCCTGGGAATTATAAGGCTAAGTTTTACTCCACACCTAACTAGGTCTTTCTTCCTACAGCACTATCAGGTTTATTATGTTAACTCTGTGATCTTAGTCAAGGTACTTTTTCAGGCATTTACTGAGCCCACTCACCTTTATAAAATAATGGATACAGAATATAGTTCCCTTAAGGTACAGTCATTCACAAAGAAACATAAAATAGCTAGCTCAGCAAAGAAAGAGAGTTAGAAAGCATAATATACAAACAAATCCACTGCCAGGGCAAGGGAGCAACGCGTCTTATCTGTCTCATCTGGAATAATGATACATTCTCAAGTACAGCATTTAAAAGAAAAATCCTCCACTTAAATGAGTGCTTTTCCACCCTGTTCTCAAAAATTACAAATGCAGAAGATTATAATATGAGCCTGTTTATATTAGAGATTTCTGGTACAGTGTTGACAAACTAAGGCCTTACCAGGTCCTGGTTAGGATTTTATGAATGGTGTCAGAGTGCACCGGAAACCCTTTTTTCGCACACTTTACAATCAAAGAAATCAATCCTGTAAAGGGATGGTGCTTTATCTTTATTAGATTTTGATTTTTAAAATATAGTGTTTGCCTTCAAAATAAAGATCGAATATACCGTGGGGACACATGGGGTATGGACAGTTATCTCTCTGAGCTTTTTCAAAAAAATCATTTTAACAGATTCTTGTTAAATACTCTTTACTACATCCTATGCAAGGTCCTGGAGAGACAAATGTGAATTAAAAAAGAGCACGGACCTTGGTCTCATTAAATATTCAGGAGGGGATAAGGGGTGATGACCAGACAATAATTAAGTAATAAAATCTAAACTAACAATTTTATCCCGTGTATAAAAGAGGGATGTGTGGTTATGGGAGGTGTTTCAACATTAATTATCATAAAATTAATGTGCATCATATTTTCTCAAAAGTAACATGAAGTTTATTTTCTCAAAGCATCCTATTAATCTAAAGCAGATCGTCTTGAGTGAAGGGCTCTAGACAACTCCATATCTCAAATAAGAATGTAACCATTGAGTGGTCGGGCGCGGTGGCTCACGCCTTGTAATTCCAGCACTTTGGGAGGCGGGGGCGGGTGGATCACGAGGTCAGGAGATCGAGACCAACCTGGCTAACACAGTAAAACCCCGTGTCTACTAAAAATACAAAAAATTAGCCGGGCGTGGTGGCGGGCGCCTGTAGTCCCAGCTACTCTGGAGGCTGAGGCAGGAGAATGGCGTGAACCCTGGAGGCGGAGCTTGCAGTGAGCGGAGATCACGCCACTGCACTCCAGCTTGGGCTACAGAGCGAGACTCCGTCTCAAAAAAAAAAAAAAAAATGTAACCATTGAGTGATTTTATTTTTAAAAATAATATTGGCTCCTTGACAGAAAATGGTTATTCATGGAGTCTTAGATTCAAGAAATTTAAATTCCTCTTTCTCTTAGTGGTTGCATTTGAAAGTTACATCGACCAGAATATTACCATACATCATTTTCTTTTCACTGAAAATGAGTTCCTCCCATTGGATCTTGAGTTGTTTGAAGACTTTTCTGGAAATGCAGGTTAATGCTGGTACAATTTGATTAACTAAAATTTTCCTCTATTATAAAACTGTAGTTATGCTTTATTATGTGGAACATTTTCCTCTTTGTAGGTGTAAGAGTCCTTAGGAACAAACGTGTCAATAGAGACATTTAAGGAATTCTAACTGAAAACATCACTGGTTGATTAATTAGTTCACCTATTTATTGTATAAGTCTTTGGGTGCCTAAAATGCAGCTGACATGTCACAAAACATTTTGTAGGAAAGCATAGAGAAAGGGTTAACATAACAGACCTGAGACTGCTGTGATTAGAATGATCTTTTTGCAAAGTTGACCAGTGGCTGGTGTCTGGGAACTTGGATTTCTGAAAGGGATCTCGTCATTCCCTAACTGATAAGCATGGTGTGTAGTACCTAAACAGTTTGTAAAAACAATGATGGTTTTTCTAAACAATTGCTTTATTTCTGAAAGTCTGGAAATGTGGTATGTGCTAAGCAGTTAGCATTAAGTCTCTAATGAACTTATCTAGAGGACATTCCACAACTGGTGTTACAACTCATTGCTATGAATCACAGATGTTTCTTGACCTACAGTGGTGTTACACCTTATAAAACCATTGTAAGTTGAAAATATTGTAAGTCACAAATGCCTATAATACTCTGATAAACCCAATGTAAAGTCAAAAAATTGTAAGTTGGGGACCATCTGTACTCTCATCTGTGCGACTCGAATGGGAGAGGTTTCTTGGAAACTTGTACGTGGTGTCCGCTGGACTTTGCCCCATAAGCCTTTTCCCTTTGCTGATTTTGCTGTGTAGCCTTTCGCTGTAATAAACCATAGTTGTGAATATGTATATCATCAAACTTTAGAGTGGTCCTGGGGAACCCTGACACAAGAAGGATAAAAATATATATACTGGTTGTGACCACTAAGATTATAATTATATTTGCACATGAGTCATAGAAACCTTTCATTAATTTTTAATTTTTGTGGATACATAATAGGTGAATATATTTATGGGGTACATAAGATATTTTGATACAGACATAAAATGCATGATAATCACATCAGGGTAAATGGGGTAATCACCACCTCAAGCACTTATCCTTTCTTTCTGTTACAAACAATCCACTTATACTCTTTTGGTTATTTTAAAATGTGAACAAATTATTGCAGACTGTAGTCACTCTTTCTTGCTATGAATACTAGATCTTATCCATTCATCTAACTGTATGTTTGTACCCATTAACCATCGCCACTACCTGCTCTCCTCCCCTCTTTCTTTTTGAGCAGTATATCTTAACAGACAATTATTTTGCCCCCAAAAGGACATTTGACAGTGCTTAGAAACATTTTTGGCTGTCACAACTGGGAGGGCGCAAATCATCCAGCAGGTGGAGAAAGGCCAGGATGCTGTTAAACATCCTAAAATTCATAGGACACCCCCACAACAAGGTGTCATCTGGCCCAAAATGCGAATAGTGCTGTGCTTGAGAAACCCTATTGTACATAAGAGTGCAAGATAACATTCAATCACCTAACAAATTAATAGGTGGAAAATAAGAATTATTTATGAATGAAGGATTTAGTAAATTTTTAAGTATTTATCTCACAGTTCAGGAAGGAGATTTTGACTACTATTCCAATAAGTTTTCCTATTATCTAAAATTGTTCCTTGTTAGACTGCCATATCTTCAAGAAAATATCTAATAAAAGTATATTCTTTTCTAAAATTCTTGGCTCACTTAATGCTATAATTAGTGATTAAAATTCCCAGACATTTGGAAACTGTTAAAGAAATGTACTGGCTTATATTTGAAAGCACTCTGGCCTTCGCTGCAGATTAATTTTATATTATACACTTATATATTATCCAGTTTCTGAATCAGTGAGTTTTACCCTCCCCCATTCTTTAACATAATAAATCCAGTATTAACTGATTAAAAACTGTTTCTAAACCTGGCTAGACCAAGGAAATCCCATGAGCCAACAGCATTATGTGGAATCCAGCCAGAAACCCCTTACCAGTCTAACTGATTTCAAGTTCACTGTCAGATTTGCTATGTTGGAAAACTAAAACACACTCATTCAGCATACATCAATAGCAACATGCCTACTTAAAGAGAGAATTTACCATTATCAGAGAGATCGTATAACTGTTGGTTCTTCTTGTCTATTTTTTGTAATACTTCTGATTAGATCACTTTCACTTTCATGTTTTTTTTTCTGTGTGTATATAAAAGGATTTGGTTCTCATTTAATCTTTTCTTTGAATAGTTTTTCCTATAGTTAAAGTCAATCAGCAATCTAAATTTCATCTGAGCTCCAATCACACGTAATTTATAAAATTTTGGAAGAACACAGGTAGGTACTCAGAGTAATCAACTTAGCTTTGGAAGAAGAATTTAATTTTTTATTATCTGCCACAACCATAACCCGGTGAATTGATTTAAATCATTGAGCTATAATTGCTTTTTGAAGATTTTTTATTTTTCCCCTTCTTGTGAAGTAGTAATTAACAAAATGTAAAAATCTAAATTCAAAATATAATTCATGTCATAAAATATATGTTACGCATGAAATATAGTTAATGGTCAAATAAATTCTTTGTTAAGACTGGTGGGGGGCCTTTGCAATTTGTGAGAAACATTCACACACACACACACACAAAATGTCTGTAAACAAAGATAAAATGTTTTTGCTGAAGAATGTAATTGTCATTTCCTGCTCCCTTACTGAAGGAAATCCAGGTGTCTGTTTACGTGGATTGCTGCTTAAATCGGCCACAAAACAGTTACTCAAAACCTATTTATTATATTATAGCAAATAGGATAATTACTGCCAGAGAAGGAGACATACTTTTTGTAACACTTTACATTTTTCTTAAAATACAAATTCTGTTATATAAATTTTGATTTTGAATCTTTTAATTATCTTTTCACCACCTCCCATACATTCTATAAGTTTTCTTTGTCTTTTTCAACTTTGGTATACAGATTTCAGCGATACTCTAATTTTTTACTGAGTAATTAACATATATAAGAAAAAGATACTTCACAATTTCCACATGCTGTAATGAAATATGATGAGTTTTGTTTATGTTAACTGTATCTAGTTCTTGCTTGATTTCTTTTTTTCCTCTAAAGTTATGTTTTATCTTGCAAGTTTGTATATGTATGTGTACTATTTATTTGTTTAACAGATTATTCAAAATCTTACTGGATAAAGCAGCAAACATTTATTATCTCAGTTTCCATGGGTCAGAAATTAAAACAATGCTTAGTTGCATCCTCTGTTTCTGAATATCTCACAAGGCTAAAATCAAGGTGTCAATTGGGCTATAGTTATCCCAAGGTTCAACCAGTGATGGGTCCACTTTTATAGTCACTCAAGTAGCTGTTGGTGGGACTCAGTTCCTCCATGGTTATTCCTAACTGGTGGTTGGCAAGAGGCCTACTTCACTATTTTACCACATGGATGTTATCCATAAAGCATCTCACAACATAGAAGCAGCTTTGACAGGGCTAATAAATAAGAAGGCAAAAAAGAATGTGCAAGAGAAAAGTCAAAGGCTTTTGTCATCTAGACTTGGAAGTGATTAAGCTCAAGTGTGATTAATCTCAAGCCAACTATCAAGCTGAAAGGACAGGATATGAATATTAAGAGAAGAGGATCACTGAAAGCCATTTTGAAAACTGCCTACAAAGTATATGGATATGGATGTTTTATGAAAATAAAATTCCTTGTGTTAGAGTGGTTTCTTTTTACTTTCTTTTTTTTTCTTTTTTCTAAATCTAATATTTTATAACCCAAAACATGGGGATAAAGACAAATTTTAGCATGTTATCCTTAATATTTAGGAGCAGTATTTAGGAGCACAGTGTATGTCATGTTAAGGATGCTACTATGCCTCTATATTATGTTGGAAACTATATATTCATCTCTGGCTCTCTTTTTTTCTTTCAAGTGGTGGTAATTTGTATAGAGTAAAGTATACTTAGAAGCCAAATTAAAACTGTACTTTAGTGTATTCGTATAAGCTTAATAAAGTATTAAGAAATACTCCTGTTTGCATCTTCATGATCTCCAAACTTTTTTCTCCGATTATGGCATCTTTTCGTATTTGCATGAACCAAATGTGGCCTTCTAAATAGGAAATTTTGGATGGAATAATAATCCACAATGAAGGAGTCATATAGTTAATGTAAGGAGAAGTGCTGACTTACGAGACCTAAATATATTTTTATATTCTTCAATACTACTATACCTTCTCCTTAATGTACCCAGAACATATGTCTCAGATTTCAATAGTCCTTGAAGTCACACTTTCCTCAAATGCCTGAATAAAAAGATGAATCTACAATCTTGCTTTATTATATATAAGAACTTAATAATTTACTTGATGTTCCAAGATATCCAGGAACATTTATCTTCTGGAAAATATATCCCGATTTTCACTTGCCATTCCATTTATCATCTGGATCCAGATCAGAACCTTTATCTACTTTTCTGCTGGTTACTCACTTCTGGCTTTCTTAGTGCTTGTATGGCTCTCTTTTAAACACTCCGCACTGTGTTGTGGACACCTATCCCTTCTTTTTTCAAACGGTTAGATAAAGACCAGTTTGTAACTTTTACCAGACTTATGGTGAATATTGTAAGACATTGATGAATATTTCTACACAAGGTCATTTGAAACTCAGTATGCAATATGACTGTTCCTGAATAACTTAAGTCCATAAATTTCCATAGTGGTTTCCTACTGGGCAATGTATTCTTTGTGACGAAGACTTCTTCCCTCACCCCAGGCTGCCAACTTAACACAGGAGCTAGTGTACCATGACATTAGGAAAGTACCCTTGGGACTGTCTCTCCTTTCTAGAATGCAGGCCTTAAAGAAAAGCTTTTGAAGAAAGAACATGTCCCGACTTCACCCTGGTATAAAGTCAGTCTCCACAATCCTTATAGCCTTACTCAGGATGTGTCACTCTACGTCATCAGTGGAAATCTATTGTCTCTTCAGGAGAAAGCCAGTATTCTAGGACCTTTCTCTACATCACTTAACATGGCAAGGTCTTCAACATTCAACGATCTACATTAGAAAATTTTCTAAGGCTACCTTCTTCAGTCTTGAGTAGCATCATCATTCCATTTAGGTAGATACATTTACCAGTCTGTAATATAATGAGGGGTAACAACTAGGCTGGCACGTATGTTAACTGTCTTCATGTTCTGTATTCCCAATTTCCCCAGCCATCATCTTATGAAAAATAATACACTTACCCATACACACTGTAGGAATAAGTGAGACTAAATATTTATGGGTATTCTAGATTCATAATTTGGAAAAGTCTCCCACATAGACCACTTCTTTCATGACCACACAGATAAATACAATAATAAGGACAAAGCGCTGACATGTTAGATGTTTTCTGTAAAGAGTCAATGACCTCATAACAAAAATTAAATGGGATAGCCTTGAAATAGTGATGGTACATATTCTGCTATATATATTCACATAGATTCTGACAAAAGTTATGAGGAAAGGAAAAGACTTATCTAGCATCCCATCACCTCAAATTTATCTCACCATTTGTAGTAGGCAGAACATTAGCCACTCAAAGGTGTTAATGTCTTATACCTCACAATTGTTGAATATGTTATAGCCCATGGTAAGTGGGAATTAAAGTTGAAGATTGAGTTAGGATTACCACTCAAGTGACTTGAGATAAGGACATTACCCTGGATTGTTGAGGTGGGTCCAATATAATCACAATGGTCTTTTGAAGTCGAAGAGAGAAGCAGAAATAGAAGTCAGAATGATGCAAATTGAGAAAGACTCAGGTGGCCATTGCTGGTTTTAAAGATAGAAGGGGGCCATGAGCCATGAGCCAAGCAATGTGACCAGACTCAGGAAGCTAGAAAAGGCAAATAAATGGATTCTGCCTCAAGCCTACAGATAAAACACAGCCCTGTCAATACCTTGATTTTAGTCCAGTGAGACCTATTTTTTACTTCTGACTTCCAAAATTATAAGATACATTTGTGTTGTTTTAAACCATCAATTTTGTAGTCATTGGTAATAGCAGTAATAGGAATCTACCACCCCATTCTTCATTTTTTTTCTGCCATCAGTGATTATGCTTCACTAATATGTAAGCCTTCCTTTCACTTTCTATATGTCCTTGACCATGTGACCTCATCTGTAAATGAAAAATTACTTATTTCATGGCATTGAGAGGAATACACAACATAATACTTGGAAAGAGAAAGAGTACATTTTTAGTTACTAAATATGTATGCATGGCTTTATTTTTATATGTATTAGTTTTATATATTAATATATAGTTTTTGTATACTAGTATATAGTATGATTTAGTTTTAAATATTAGTATATAAAAAAGAGAATGTATAAATATATTTCTGTTTATATTTTTTCTTTTAATATTGGTACATAATAATACATATTTATGTGGTACATATGGTATTTTGATACATGCATACAATGTGTAATGATCAAATTAAGGTAATTGGGGTAGCTATCATCTTACACATTTATCATTTCTTTGTGTTGAGAACATTCCAAATCTTCTAGCCATTTTTAAATGTACAATAAGTTATTGTTAGCTATACTCCTGCTGTGTTATTAAATGCTAGAAATTGTGCCTTCTATCTATATATATTTTTGTATCCATTAACCAATCTTTCTTCATCCATCCTCTACCCTACCCTTGCCAGCCCCTGATAACCACTGTTATAGTCATTATCTCCAGAAGACCAAGTTTTTTAGCTCCCGCATATTAGTGAGAACATGGGATATTTGTTTTTCTGTATTTGGCTTAGCTCAATTAACATAATGACCTCCAGTTCTATCCATGTTGCTGCAAATGACAGAGTAGCATTCTTTTTAATGTATTAATACGCCACTTTGTATATATACTACATTTTCTTAATCTGTTCATTTGCTGATGGACGTAGATTAATGTCATGTCTTGGCTGTTGTGAATAGTAGTACAATTAACACGAGACTGCAGATTTTTTGTGGATATTCTGATTTCCTTTTTTTGGACATACACCAAGGAATGGAATTGCTGGATCATATGCTAATTCTATTTTCAGTTTTCAGTAGAACCTTCATACTGTTCTCCATAGTGGCTGTACCAATTTACATTCCCACCAAGAATGTAGGAGGGTCACATTTTTCTACATTCTCATCAGCTTTGGTTATTTGTTGTCTTTTTAATTATAGCTACTTTAACTGGGGTGAGATGATATTTCATTGTGGTTTATATTTACGTTCCCCATGGCTAGTGATTTTGAACATTATTTTCACATACCTACTGGTGTATCTTCTCTTAAAAATATCTATTAAGATCTTTTGCC
This sequence comes from Homo sapiens, assembly GCF_000001405.40. Classification (NCBI taxonomy): domain Eukaryota; kingdom Metazoa; phylum Chordata; class Mammalia; order Primates; family Hominidae; genus Homo; species Homo sapiens. Next base: position 54,740,216 of record NC_000010.11, on the reverse strand, counting down.
CATTTTAAAATTTGATTATTTGTTTTTTACCATTGTCTTATTTGAGTTCCTTATGTATTCTGATTATTAACCCTTTTGTCAGATGGATAGTTTACAAATATTTTCTCCCATTCTGTGGACTGTCTCCTCACTTTGTTGATTGCTTTCTTTGCTGTGTAGAAGTATTTTTAGCTCAGTGTAATCCCATTTCTCTATTTCTGCTTTTCTTTCCTGTGCTTTTGAGGACTTGCCCAAAAAATCTTTGTCTAGACCAAAGTCCTGAAGTGTTTCCCCAATGTTTTCTTCTAGTTATTTTATAGTTTAGGTTTTACGTTTAAGTATGCAATCCATTTTTATTTGATTTTTGTATGTAGTAAGAGGTAAGAGTCTATTTTCATTGTTCTGCATGTGGCTATCTAGTTTACCCAGCACCATTCATTGAAAAGTATTTGTTTATCAGCATATGTCCTTGGCACCATTTTTGAAATGAGTTGGCTGAAAATGCATGGATTTATTTCTGGGTTCTCTATTCTGTTACATTGGCTTATGTGTATATTTCTATGACGGCATCATGCTGTTTTTTAGATACTATAGCTTTGTTCTTTTAGTTCTGGATTGCTTTGGCTATTTGTGGTCTTTTGTGGCTCCATACAAATTTTAGCTTTTTTTTTTTTTCGATTTTGTGAAGAATGTCATTGGTATGTTGATAGGGATAGTATTGAATCTGTAGATCACTTTAGCTGGTATGAACATTTTAACTGTGTTAATTCTTCCAATCCCAAAACATGAGGTATCTTACCATGTTTTTGTCTCCTTTTTAATTTATTTTATCAATCTTTTCCAGTTTTCCAGTAAAGATCTTGCACTTTTTTGGCTAAATTTATTCCCGGGTTTTTGTTTGTTTGTTTGTTTTTGGTAGCTGTGTAAATTGAATTACTTTCTTGTATTTTTTTCAGATTGTTTACTGCTGGAATATAGAAATGTTATTAATTGTTGTATGTTGATTTTGTAGCAACTTTACTGAATTCATGGATCAGTTCTAACGGTTTCTAGTGGAATCCTTAGGTTTTTTTCAATATTTATGTTCTAAATATAAGATCATATCATCTGCAAAAAAGGACAATTTGACTTCTTCCTTTACAATGTTCTTTATTCACTTTTATTGCTTCATTCCTCTGTCTAGAACTTCCAATGCTGTGTTGAATAAGAGTGGTGAAAGTTAGCCTATTTGCCTTGTTACAGACCTTAGAGGAAAGGCTTTCAATGTTTTCCCATTCAGTATTATGTTAGCTGTGGGTTTGTTAGATGTGGCCCTTACTATTTTGAGGTATACTTCTTTTATACTTAGTTTGTTAGGTGTTTTTAATCAAGATAATAACCAAAGGAAATTTTTTTTTAAAGAAGGAAAGTTGGATTTTATGGAATGCCTTTTCAGCATCTATTGAAATGATCATATGTTATGATGTATCATGTTTATTGATTAGCATATGTTTAACTATACTTGCGTCTCTGGGATGAATTCACTTAATCATGGTGAAATATCTTTTTATTGTGTTGTTGAATTCAGTTTGCTAGTGTTTTTTGAGGATTTTTGCATCTGTGTTTATAAGAGATATTGGATTATAGTTATTATTATTATTGCATGTTTGTCTGGTTTTGGTATGGTAATTCTGGCCTCATAGAATGAGTTTTGAAGTATTCCCTCCACTTCAATTTTTTGAAATAGTTTGAGTAGAACTTTTATTAGTTGTTTTTTACATGTTTGTAAAGTAAATTCATGTTTTACCTACTTTAAAATAAATAAAACCTTTTAACCACCCTGACGACCATAAAAATACTAAATTAAAACACATTTTAGCCACATTGTTACCTTACAGAAATTATGCTAGATGTGTCTTTTGGAAACTATTTATTTCCATATCTCTGTTTACACACTTGCCCCATTATAATCTATTCTCAATATAGCAGCCAATTTGATCCTGATCCTTTTATAAACCTAAATCAAGCTATACATTTATCTGCTCAAAATCCTCAATGACTCATTCTGAGTAAAACCCAAATTTCTCAAAATGTCCTAGGGTGCTACATGATCTGTCCTTCTTAACTCTTTGGCATCATCCTCATAACAGTCTCTAACTTCTATCATGTGGCTCAAGTCAAAGAGTTCGTTATTCTCCAGAACATGTGAAGTTCACCCCCTGCTCAGACAATGGCCTAGAGTGCTCCTCCCCCATTATCCATTTGGCTGGATCTTTCAGCTCAGCTTTTCAGTGACTCCTACCCTGGCCACCCGAGTAAACATGCAATGCAGTTCTCTGGCCTCCCCACTTCTAACATATTGCATAGATATTTATTTTGCTTTGTGACTCTCCACATTAGGATTTAAACTCGAATAGGGCAGTATTCATATCTGCTTTTTCATTACTGTATTCTTAGGAACTGGAGAGGTGCCTAACTCACAATTTGTACTCAATCATACCTAATAAATTAATATTTAATTATTTATTTGCCATAGATTCAGAACTTCAAACACATCAGTTTCAAAGTTTGACTAAAATCTTAAATGTCATCAAATTTATGCTTTTGACTTCACAGATGAAAAAAAGTGAGGCCCAGAGAGGTCACACAGCTGTTTTCACTAAAATTAGAATAAGAAAATGGCCCTGACTTTTCAGCAAAGTATTTGTATAATTTTGTACTTACACTAGTAGTTAACACTCTTTTCAATTTCATACATTTGGAATTTACTAACTCATTACCTTTTCTGTAAGCAGGATTGCTCACCTATATTGTGAGCATTCACTCTTACCTTTCCATTATACATTCTTAGAAATCTTATTTATTTAGCAAGTATTTTAATAATTGATGTATACACCATTTTGTAGTATAGTGGGTGATTCAAAGATGAACTTCAGCTTTATGGTTACAGCTTTACCACAAATGCATGCTCAATCAGACACCTCTTATGTGCCACTTCAGGTTCTTTCAGTGTCACCTATATCCAGGGCAGATAGCCACTGGGTCAGCGCCAGCACCTGGAGCAACGAATATGAGTGACCTCTGGCCAGTTTCGCATAAGAAGCACCCGGCAGGTCTAACATCAGGTCCTTTCTGTGCTTCTTTCATGTCTTCTGTGAGAATTCAGTGCTGCCACTGAGGCATGTAATGCTTTGGGACCCTTGTAGCACTCATGGATGTGCAATCCATTTGTACAGGAAGGTAGTGCTCCCTCTGGTAAACCTTAATTCAGAGAGAAACAGAAGCTGGCCTATGATTTTGTCCCCCCTGGAAAGAGATTATTTGACCTTTTTGAAGACAGTCCTTCAAAATCAAGTGATTCGTTATACCTGATGCCATCAGTGACCAGCTCAGTAATGCATTGTCATATTGACCCTGCTTGCTTCCTGCCTCACTCTCCTTTTCCCTCACACCCTATTCTCTAGAATCATAGTTCCTAACAAAAATATGGGACATGAATTTTCGCCTAAAGTTCTTTCTCAAAAATGCTGATATACTGTCTTTAAGAACCTTAAAACCTAGTAGAAGAAGGTATATTCAGACCTACGTAACTACTATGAAGTACCATCTAATATATCTTACTAAACTCATACAAAAACTACACACAACTGCAGAGGAAAGAGTTCTCCTTTTGCCGAGATGAAGAAGAGTTTTTGTTAGAAACATGAATTTTATTTTGTACTAAATGATGATTGAAGTATTCTTAGAAAGAAGATAAGTACAACAACATGTGTAATGCTGGTGATGGTCATAGCATGACCAAGAAAGCAGCATGGGGCACATTTATAAATACTGAGGGCTGCGTTTGTTGGGGGATGGGGTGGGTGAGAGAGAAAGAAATATGTTGAAATCATCTTCCAAAAGCTATTTTTTTGAAAATAATTCTAATGGATTATTGATCATTTGAAACTTGTGATTGATAAAATCAAATGGCAAACCTGATTCTGAAAGGAAGGATTGTCTACTAAAATGGGAATTACAGCATTTATCAAGAGCAAGGTGGCTGTTTTTTAGAGAAATAATGTGATGATACTGTTGTCTATGGTCACATGCTACAGAGTTAGATTCAGTCTCCAGTTTGCCAATTGCCAGGATTATTGCAGCTTCTAAGTGCTCAAGAGGGATAACTCTAAAATGCAGTTTGACCTAAGGAAAGAAAGTCGAGATCTTGACATTCAGAAAGTATATTTCTTTTTTTTTTTAATTATACTTTAAGTTTTAGGGTACATGTGCACATTGTGCAGGTTAGTTACATATGTATACATGTGCCATGCTGGTGCGCTGCACCCACTAACTCGTCATCTAGCATTAGGTATATCTCCCAATGCTATCCCTCCCCCCTCCCCCCACCCCACAACAGTCCCCAGAGTGTGATATTCCCCTTCCTGTGTCCATGTGATCTCATTGTTCAATTCCCACCTATGAGTGAGAATATGCGGTGTTTGGTTTTTTGTTCTTGCGATAGTTTACTGAGAATGATGATTTCCAATTTCATCCATGTCCCTACAAAGGACATGAACTCATCATTTTTTATGGCTGCATAGTATTCCATGGTGTATATGTGCCACATTTTCTTAATCCAGTCTATCATTGTTGGACATTTGGCTTGGTTCCAAGTCTTTGCTATTGTGAATAATGCCGCAATAAACATACGTGTGCGTGTGTCTTTATAGTAGCATGATTTATAGTCCTTTGGGTATATACCCAGTAATGAGATGGCTGGGTCAAATGGTATTTCTAGTTCTAGATCCCTGAGGAATCGCCACACTGACTTCCACAATGGTTGAACTAGTTTACAGTCCCACCAACAGTGTAAAACACATGAAAAAGTGCTCATCATCACTGGCCATCAGAGAAATGCAAATCAAAACCACTATGAGATATCATCTCACACCAGTTAGAATGGCAATCATTCTGACTGACACAGAAAATACACAGAATATTTTTCAAGACACTCAAATAATAAAATAGTAGAATTAACCAAATTGGTCAAAAGCAAAATCCTCATGGACAAATATACTTTTGAGACTATCTTTTCTTGTAGATTTTTCTATGCATAAAATATATAGATTTAACATGAGAATTTCTATAAAGGGATAGTATAATAAAGTGGTTAATATACCAGATGTTTTTTAAAAGTCAGTTGTATTATGATTTAGTTTTCATATAATAAGTTGAAATGTATAGTTTAATGATTTTAACTGAATTTTATATAGTAAAATTCACACTTTAGGGTATGAAATATTATATTTGACAAACATGTAGTCTTGTAACCACCATCACAATAAAGATACTGAAATAGTTTCATTACCCCAAAGAAACTTCCATGCTGCTGCTTTGTAGCAAAATTTTCTCTTTCTTATAGTTTTGCTTTTTACTGAATGTCATGTAAATTAAATCATGCATGACCCTTTGAATCTGACTTTTTTCAGTTAGGATATCCATTTGATACTCATCCACATGGATTGTAGGTATCAATAGTTGGTTCGTTCTTTTTTTACCACTCAATAGTACTCTGTTGTATGGATTACCAGAGCTCATTTTTCTTTTTATTAGCTGAAAGGCATTTCGATTGCTTACCATTTTTCACCATTATGAATAAGGGCAATATAGCCATTTGCATAGATTTCTGAGTGATCATAAGTTTTAATCTGTTTTGGGTAAATACCTAGGGGTGGTGATGCAAGGTCATTTGGTAGTTAAATGATCACTTTTTAAAAACTGGCAGACTATTTTCCAAAGTTGTTGTCTTATCTTGCATTTTCACCAGCAATGCATGAGTGTGTCAATTGCTCTACTTCCTCACTGGTATTTAGTGTAACAAGGTTTTGTTTTCTTTGTAATCTTAGCCTTTAAAAAAATATTATAATGTGGTTTCAATTTGCATGCCCCTAATGACTGTTGTTGAGCATCTTCTCATTTGCTTAGTTGCAGTCCATATTTCTTCTTTGGTAAAGTGCCTGTACTGAACTTTGCCCACATATTTTCCTTATTATCGTGTCATAATTGCTCTTTCTCTGTGTTGAATGCATACAGTTTGTCAGATAGGGGATTGACAAATACATATTTTTTCTAATCTTTGACTAGTCTTTTCACTTTTTAAATATGTTTTTTGGCAGAGCATTTTTTTAAGTGTGTTAAAGTCCAATTAATAATGTTTTTTCTCTTGATATTCTTTCTATAAAATGGCTGCTTAAACTTATGTTCCAAATTTTCTTTGTTTTTTTTTGTAAAGTTTTAACATTTTACATTCTATATTATATCTATATCCTTTACTGTTGATTTTGATAAAAAATGTGAAGTACAGGTGAAGGTCCATTTTTGTTTTTACGTTTGGAGGTCTAATTTTTCTGGCACTATTTATTTAAAATTAAGTCTTTTTATTATTGTCTTTAAAGCAACTTTGTCAGAAAATAAACATTTGTGTGGTTCTATTTATATTCTATTTATTTTATTCCTTTCATATGTGTATCTACCCATTTGCCAATAAAATACTGTCCTGATTACTATAACTTTAAAAAAGTTTGAATATCAGGTAGTGGGAGATCTTGAAATAAATTCTTTTTCAAAATGTTTTGGATATTATAATTATTTTCCTTTTCTATGTAAACTTATAATCAGTTTTTTGGTATCTAAAAATATCCTGCTAAGAATTCAATTGGAAATGTATAGAATCAATTTGGGAATAATTTATCTCATTAATAAGTCATCAAATACATGAACACAGAATATGTATACCCATCACTTAGGCCTTCTTTCATTTCTTTTGTGTTTTGTATTTTTCTGAATATAGATCATGCATATACTTTGTTAGAATTTAACCTAAATATCTAATTGTTTTATGATATTGTACATGGTATGGTTACAGTTTTTGACTTAAAGATGTTCATTGTTAACATTCAGAGATGCAGTTGATTTTTGTATCCTGTGACTTACTAAATTCTTTTGCTATTCTTGAAAGTTTATTTTCTTTTCATTTTTGAGATTTCAGATATTTTCTACATAGATAATCATGTTCTCTTTTTAATAGAGAGAGCTTTCTTTCCAATCTGGAGGATTTTATTAATTTTCTTTGTCTTATTTTACTGTCTAGGTTCCAAAACAATGTTCTATAGTAGTGATGAGGAAGAGATATACTTGCTTTGTCAGTCTTTCGCCATTATAATGTTAGCTGTACGTTTTCGTAGACAAACTCTATCAGGTTAAGGAAGTACTTATAGTTTACTGAAAGTGTATATCATAAACAAATCTTGAATTTTATCAAATGCTTTTCTTCTGAATCTATTGATTTTTCTTTTTATTCTGATAATATTAAGAATTATGTAGACTCAATTTCTGATGTTGAAACAGGCTCTCATTACTGGAATCTGCTCCACCTGACTGTGATGTAGTATGTTTTGTATATATTGCCATATTCAATTTGTTAATAATTTGTTAAGAAATTCTGCATCTATGCTCATGAGAGAGATTAGTTCATTGTTTTACTTGATCATGTTTTTGTCTGACTTTAGTATCAGGACAATGCTCCCTTGTAAAATCAGGTGAGAGTTGTTACTTCCTCTTCTATTTTTTGGAAGGGATTGTTCAGAATTGTTAAAATTCCTTCTTCAGCATTTAGTGGAATTCCCCAGTGAGTCCATCCAGACAAAATTTTTCTTTGTTGGAAGAATTTTTAAGTCTAAATCTAATTGCTTGACTAAATATATGACATGTCTTAGGTTATCCATTATTTTCTTGAGTGAGTCTTGTGTCTTTCAAGGAAACTGGTCCATTTTATATTTGTTGGTGAATTTGCAAATGTAGAGTTGTTACAGTATTTCCTTATTATATTTTTGTTATTTTTAAGTTCTATAGTGATGTCCCGTCTTTCATAAGGATATTGGTAGTTTGGATGTTTTTTCATTCTCTGTGTCTGACTTGCTCTGTCTCTGGCTCTGGCTCTCTGGAGGTTAATAATTTTTATTAATGTGATATGCCCCCGATCATTTAGCTAGAAGTCTCCTAATATGAATTTGAATTTAAGTTTGTCTGCTTCTCATTCCATGCTCTCTGTATTCTACTGTGCTGCTTTGATTACCTTTATTCACAGCATTGTTGGTATATTTATTTTTATTTTTAATTTTTTTTTCCAATTTTTGCATTGATTCATAATAGATGTACATATTTTCAGGTTACATGTGATAATGTCATATATGTATATAATTTGTAAATATCAAATCAGTGTAATTGAGATATCCATTAAATATTTATTGTTTATGCTAGAAACATTCAAATTATTCTTAGTATTTTGAAATATACTATCAATCATTGCAAACTATAATCACCCTATTGATCTATCAAACACTAGATATTATTTCTTCTCTCAAACTGTATATTTGTGCCTATTATTCAAACTCTCTTCACCCTCCCTTCCCATCTACCTTTCCTGGCCACTGGTACCCAATAATCAAATTCCTATCTTCATGATAGTCACTTGTTCAGTTCCCACATATGAGTGAGAACATGCAATTTGTCTTTCTGTGCCTGGCTAATTTCACTTATAATGACCTCCTGTTCCATCATGTTGCTACAAATGACAGGATTTCATTCTCTTGTATGACTTAACAATATTCAACTATATATATATGTGTGTGTGTGTGTGTGTGTGTGTGTGTGTATATATATATATATATATCTATCTCACATTTTCTTTATTCATTGATGGGCACTTTGGTTGATTCCATAATTTGGGTATAGCAAATAGTGCTGCAATAAACATGGGAGTGAAGATATCTCTTCAATATACTGCCTTTTTGTGAATGTATACCTAATAGTGGAAATGCTGGATCATATAGTAGTTTTATTTTTAATTTTTTTGAGAAACTGTCATACTTTTTTTCATAGTGGTTGCACTAATTTGCATTCCTACCAACGGTGTACAAAGTTCTCCTTTCTTCACGTCTTTGCCAGCATCTGTTATTCCTTGTCTTCTTGATAAAATCAATTTAAGCTATGGTAAGATAATAGCTCATTGCACTTTTGAGTTGTATTTCACTGAAGACTAGTGATGTTGAACAATTTTTCATTGTTCAACATACAACTGTGGGCCATTTGTATGTCTCTTTAGAAAAATGTCTTTTCAGATCTTCTACCCATTTTTAATTTCATCTATTTTTGCCATTGAGTTGCTTGAGCTCCTTATATATTCTGGTTGTTAATCTCTTGCCAGGTGGATAGTTTGCAAATATTTTCTTCCATTCTCTGGCTGTCTCTTTACTTTCTAGATTGTTTTCTTTTCTGTGCAGAAGGTTTTTAGCCTAATGTAATTTCATATGTCTATATTTTGCTTTGGTTGCCTGTGCTTTTGAGATATTACACACACAAAGAAAACTCTTTACATAGACCAGTGTCGTTAAGTATTTTTTCAATATTTTCTTCTAATAGTTTCATAGTTTCAGGTTTAAATTTAAGTCTTTATTTTTATTTGATTTTTGTATATGGTGAGAAATAGGAGTCCATTTTCATTCTTTTACATATGGTTATCCAGTTTTCTCAGCATCATTTATTGAAGAAAATCTCATTTCCCCATTTCCTGTTCTTGGTGCCTTTTTCAAAAAATAGTTGGCTGTGAATGCATGGATTTATATCTGGGTTCTACTTTGATTACTTTCTTATGATTTGTTCTTTCCAACTTTTATTTTAAGTTTGGGGTACATGTGCATGTTTTCTACAAGGTAAATTGCATGCCATGGGGGCTTGGTGTACAGATTATTTCATCACTTGGGTAATGAGCATAGTACTCAATAGGTAGCTTTTTGATCCTCAACTCCCACCCTCTACCCTCAGGTAGGCCCTGTGTCTATTGTTCCTTTGTCTGTATCCATGTGTACTCAATGTTTAGCTCCCATGTATAGGTGAGAATATATGGCATTTGGTTTTCTGTTTCTGCATTAATTTGTTGAAGATAATAGCCTCCAGTTCCATCCACGTTGCTGAAAAGTACATGATTTCATTCTTATTTAAGGCTGTGTAGTATTCCATGGTATATATGTATGACATTTTCTTTATCCAGTCCACTATTGATAATCATTTAGGTTGATTCCATGTCTTCGTTACTATAAGTAGTGCTGCAGTGAACATATGCATGCATGTGTCTTCATGGTAGAATGATTTATATTCCTTTGGATATATACCCAGGAATAAGATTGCTGGGTTGAATGATTGTTCTATTTTAAGTTCTTTGACAAATCTCCAAACTGATTTCCACAGTGGCCGAACAAATTTGCACTCCTACCAGCGGTGTTTAAGCATTCCCTTTTCTCTGCAACCTTGCCAGGATCTTTGTTTTTGACTTTTTAATAATAGTCATTCTGAGCGTTGTAAGATACTATCTCATTGTGGTTTTGATATGCATTTCTCTTATTATTGATGATGAGAATGTTTTTATAGGTTGTTTACTGCATATATGTCTTCTTTTGAGAAATGTCTGTTCATTTCTTTTGCTTATTTTCTAATGGGGTTGTTTGTTTTATGGTTGTTCAATTGTTTGAATTCCTTATAGGTTCTGGATATTAGACCATTGTTAGAAGTCTAGTTTACAAATATTTTATCCCATTTTGTAGGTTCTCTATTTACACTGTTGATAGTTTCTTTTGCTGTGCAGAAGCCATTTGGTATAATTAGGTCCCACTTGTCAATTTTTGTTTTTATTGCAATTGCTTTTGTAGTCGTAGTCATAAAATCCTTGCCAGGGACAATGTCTAGTATTTTCTAGATTTTCTTCAAGAATTTTCATAGTTTTAAGTTTTTCATTTAAGTCTTAAATCCATTTTTATATGTGGTGAAAGGAAAGGATCCAGTGTCAGTCTTCTGCATAGGGCTAGCCAGTTGCTGCAGCTTCATTTATTGAATAGGGAGTTGTTTCCCATTGGTTGTTTTAGTTGACTTTGTCCCAGATTAGATGGTTATAAATGTGTAGCTTTATTTCTGTGTTCTTTAACCTGTTCCATTGATTTATATGTTTCTTTTTGTACCAGTATCATGCTGTTCTGGTTATTATTGCCTTGTCGTATAATTTAAAGTCAGGTAGTGTGATGCTTTCAACTTTGTTGTTTTTGTTTAGGATTGCTTTGGCTATTCAGGCTCTTTTTGGTTTCATGTAAATTTTGAATAGTTTTTTGTAATTATGTGAAAAATGACATTGGTAGTTTGAATGGAATAGCATTGAATTTGTAGTAGCTTTGGACAGTATGCCCTTTTTACTATAATGATTCTTGTTATCCATGAGCATGGTATGTATTTCCATTTGTTTGTTTCATTTCTGATTTCTTTCAGCAGTGTTTTATAATTCTAATTGTAAATATTTTCACCTCCCTAGTTAGCTGTTTTTCTAGGTATTTTATTTATTTGCAGCTATTATGAATGCAATTGTGCTCTTGATTGGCTCTCACCTTGGACACTATTGATGTATAGAAATGCTACAATTTTTGTGCATTAATTTTGTATCCTGAAACTTTGCTGACGTTATCAATTCTAGGAGTGTTTGGGCAGGGACTATGGGGTTTTCTAGGCATAGAATCCCATTGTCTACAGAGATAGTTTGAATACCTCTCTATTTGGATGCATTTTATTTCTTCCTCTTGCATTATGCCTCTGTTTAGGACTTCCAATATCATGTTGAACAGGATTGGTGAAACTGGGCATCCTTGTCTTGTTCCAGTTCTCAAGAAGAATTCTTCCAGCATGTGCCGATTCAGTATGATGTTCTCTGTGGGTCAGTCAATAGAAGGCTATTATATTTTGAGGTATATTCAAAATGATGTCTTCTTTGTTCAGGATGTGTACCATAAAGGGACACTGAATTTTATCAAAAGTCTTTTCTGTGTCTATTGAGATAATCACGTGGTTTGGTTTATAGTTCTGTTTATACGATGGATCGCTGAATCATTTTATTGTGTTGCAAATGTGGAACTAACCTTGCATCCCAGGAATAAAGCCTTCATAATTTTGGTTGATTAACTTTTTGATATGCTGCTGGATTCAGTTTGCTAGTATTTTGTTGAGGATTTTTGCATCTACATTCACCACAGTAATTAGCCTGAAGTTCTCTTTTACCTTCATGTTTCTGCCAGGTTTTGGTATCAGAATAATGCTGGCCTCATAGAGTAAGTTAGGGAGAAGTCCCTCCTCAGTTTTTTGGAATAGTTTCAGTAGGATTGGTACCAGATTTTGTTAAGCCACTTTGTAGAATTCAGCTGTAAATATATCTGGTATAGGGCTTATTCTGGTTGGTTGGTTTGTTACTGCTAATTCAATTTTGTAACTCATTAATGCTGTATTCAGGGTTGCAATTTCTTTCTGGTTCAATCTTAGGAGGTTGTGTGATTCCAGGAACTTATTTATTCCTTCAAGGTTTTCTAGTTTATGTGACTAGAAATCTGCACCAGATTCTCTGAGGGTTTGTTTTATTTCTTTGAAATCAGTGGTAATATCCCCTTTGTCACGTCTCATTGTATTTAGTTGGATCTTCTGTCATGTTTTCTAGTCTAGCTACCAGTCTATTAATCTTATTGTTTCAAAGAACCAACATATTTTTGTTGGTCTTCAGTATGGTTTGATGCATCTCAGTTTTGTTCAGTTCAGGTCTGATTTTGGTTATTTCTTGTCTTCTTCTATCTATGGGATTGGTTTGCTCTTGTTATTCTAGTTCCTGTCAGTGTGGTGTTAGGTTGTTAGTGTGAAATCTGTCTTTTTGATGTGGGCAGTTAGTGCTAGAAACTTTCCTCTTAACACTGCTTTAGCTGTGTCCCAGAGTCTGGTATGTTGTATCTTTGTTTCATTAGTTTCAAATAATTTCTTGTTTTCTGCTTTAATTTCATTGTTTACCCAAAAGTGATTCAAGAACAGATTGTTTCATTTCTATGTAATGGTATAGTTTTGAGAGATCTCCCGTGTATTGATTTCTATTTTTATTGTGCTGTGGTCTCAATGTGGTTGATATGATTTTGTGTGCATGTGTTTTTTTTAATTTGTTGAGAATTGCTTCATGGAAAATCATCTGGTTGATTTTAGTGTACCATGTGCAGGTAAGAAGAATGTATATTCTGCTGTTTTTTGTTGGAGAAATCTATAGATATCTGTTAGGCTCATCTAGTCAAGTGTTTGAGTATAGTTCTCAAATGTCTTTCCTGAGTTTTCATGTCAACCTCTCTAGCAATATTGGAGACATTTCCATGGTTAATGTTAATACCCACAAAAATATTTTCCAAGTTTCTTGCAATCTCTCTCTTTCTTTCAGAGATGCAAATTAATTTCAGGTTTGGTCTCATTACATAATCCCATATTTCTCAGAGATTTTGTTTATTTTGTTTACTCTGTTTTTTTTTTCTTCTTTTTAATCCGAATGAGTTGACCTGAAGAACCAGTCTTAGAGCTCTGAGATTTTCTTCAGCTTGGCCTATTCTGCTGTGTAGTGCTTTTGATTGTTTTTCAAAATTTTTGTAGTCAGCTTTTTAGCTTCATCAGATCAGTTTGTTCCTTTTATAAATGAATATTTTGTCTTTCAGCTCTTATGTCATTTTGCTAGATTCCTTAGATTACTTGGATTGCATTTATACTTTGTTGTGAATCTCGATGATCTTCATTGAAAACCAAGTTCTGAATTCCATATCTCTCATTTTATTATTTGACCTGTGCCCTCTCATCATTCTCTTTCTCTAGCATTTTCGGTCCTGTTTCATACCACTTTATTTTATAGCTATTCACTGTCAATTCAAATACACACACACACACACACACACACACACACACACACACACACACCCCTGATGGGTAGAAATGTGCTAAAGATGAAACTGATTTTGAGGTATGACTGGAGAATCAACTTTATTATTTTACAAATATTTTAAATTCTTATCTCCTTTTTCAAAATAGTTTCTCTATAATAATAATTATTTTCTTAGGAAACTAAATTTAAACTAATTTTTTTCTGTGGAATGTGTGTCTTCATTAAGTATATTTGAGATCATACTCCAATTTTCTAACTGTTAGTAAAACTGTGGTCAATATATTTTTAGAAAGGGTTATAAAAGGCATGTAGTATTGCTGCTCACTCACAATTCCACAAAAAGGGGAGGGAGAATTTAAATAAAGATAAAATGTAAAGCTCTTATTCTATATTCTGATCTTGGGCAAGTCCTTTTTAGAGAGGCAGAGCTATGCCCTGAGGTTTGAATGCATGTACTTGTAACAGCTGCCTACATTAATTTAGACAGGTACCTGCTTAAATCTTTCTTCATTTACATGCTAACCTGTGACAATCAAGTTAGTGCATATCAGCAGTAATTTTTTTTTACCAGAACTGAATTCCAACTTGAAATTATTCAGCAGAAAACAGTTTCCCAAGAATTCCAGTTCCAACTTTTTGTGATAATATTTACTGCAAATTATTACTAGGCTCAGCCACTCACATGGATGGTATTATTCCCATTTTATCAGTTTTAGCTTGAATGTGCTCATTTTGTGCTTTAAAAAACTGTAAAAATAAAATTTTCAAGCTCCTAAATGAGTTGCTTAGAGTGAAATACAAATTGTAGACTATTTCTTTATGAATAATGAGGTTGCAGTGTTTTATTAATTACATTCCTTTGTTTAATCAGAGAAATGAGTTTCCAATTATATATATATATAATTATATATATAATTATATTTATATAAACATAAACAATTGTAGAGATGAGGTCTTACTGTGTTGCACAGACTCGTCTCAGACTTCTGAGTTCAAGTGATCCTTCCACCTTGGTCTCCCAAATTGCTGGGATTACTGGCATGAGGAATCATGCCTGATCTAAGCTGCTAATTTGTAATTTTGAATTAAACTTCAGTTCATTACTAAATTTCGCTCATTACTGTATAATTTAAATATTCATTCATTTACTAAGAAAATGGACATTTTCTTCAATGATTTTAAGGTTTTTAGTGTCTGTGACTATAATGTAAATATTTTTACAAATTAGTAATATTAATATATAGAAAATTTCGCAAGAAATGGTTAAAGTATTGGAATCCATTATTGGTGTAATTTATTTTTCAGAATGGCTCATGAACCCACAGTGTTGGAATATTCTACAACTCAATGTGATGTCTTATTCTGGCATACAAATTCATAAAATCCATTTCTGTGTTTCGGACTAATGGGAACATGCTTTTAAAATATATGTGTATGTAATATATATGTAAGGTATACATTAGCTGTGTTTTTAAATATATGTATGTATGTGTGCATAGGTGTGCATGTGTGTATCTATTTATATATCTATATCTATATCTATATCTATATATATATGTACTATTTGGCTAATGGGTAGAGTAGAAGCCCAATCCCCACCACTATGCAATATAATAATGTAACAAATATGTATATGTGCCACCTGAATCTAAAATTATATATATGTATATATGTATACTAACACACATATATAAGAAACCTATATGTATATAGCTTTCTTGTTTACCTTTAGTCTTGCTTTTCTGTTGAGTCGTTTATTCCAGAAACCATTTTAAAAGGAAATATATATTTTGTTACAATTTTTATGTACTGTAAATATACTTTTATATATTCTGGTGCACCATACAAAATTAACATATAACTTTTCAGTGAAGATATACTACTCTCTACAGCTAATATTAATTTCTTTTTTTAATTTTAATTTTATTTTAGATTCGGGGGTATATATGCATATTTGTTACATAATTATATTGTATATTGGTTAGGGACTGGGCTTCTACTCTATCCATTAGCCAAATAGTGAGCTTTGTAACCAATAGGTAATTTTCAACCCTCAAACTTTTTCTACCCTCGCTCATTTTTGAGTCTCTGAGGTGTGTTATTTCCATCTTTGCATCTATATGTACCTCTTGTTTAGTTTCCACTTATGAATGAGAACATGGAATATTTTATTTTCTGAGTTCACTTAGGATAATGACCTCTAGTTCCATCCAAGTTGCTGTAAAGGACATAATTTTATTCTTTTTAATGGCTGCACAGTTTGTCATGATGTATACACCACATTTTCCTTATTCAGTCAACTGCTGTTGGACACTTAGGTTGATTCCATTACTTTCCTATTATGAGTAGTATTGTGTTGAACATACAAATGCAGATGCCTTTTTCCTACAGTGATTTCTTTACCTTTGTGTAGATACTCAGGGATGAGATTGCTGGGTTGAACGGTAGTTCTACTTTTACTTCTTTGAGAAATCTACATACTGTTTTTAATAGAAGATGAACTGATTAACATTCTCACCAACAGTGTATAAACAATTGCCGTTTCTTGACATCCACACCAACATCTCTTGTTTTTTGACTTTTAATATTAACCATTCTGACTGGGTGAGATTATATCTCATTGTGATTTTAACTTGCATTTCTCTGATGATTACTGATGTTTAGCAATTTTTTATGTGTTTGTTGGCTGTATGTATTTCTTCTTTTAAGAAATGTCCGTGTTTTTGCCCACTCTTCAGTGGAATTATTTTTTTTCTTGTTGAGTTGTTCGAGTTTCTTGTAGATTCTGGATATTAGTCTTCTGTCAGAAGCATGATTTGAAAATATTTTCTCCCATTGTTTAGGTTATCTGTTTAATCTGTTAATTATTTATTTTGTTGTGCAAAAGCTGTTTAGTTTAATTAAGACCCATTTGTCTATTTTGTTTTTGTTGCATTTACTTTCAGGGTCATCATTATAAATTATTTGCTAAGGCAAATGTCCAGAAGAGATTTTTCTAGGTTTTCTTGTAGGATTTTATAGTTTCTGGTCTTATGTTTAAGTCTTTAATCCACTTTGACTTGATTTTTGTACACAGTGAGAGATATGGTTCCAGTTTCATTATTCTGCACGTGGCTAGCCAATTTTCCCAGCATCATTTATTGAATAGAGCATCTTTCCTCCCTATTTACTTTTGTTAACATTTTGAAGATCGACTGATTGTAAGTGTGTGCTTTAATTCTGAGTTATCTTTTCTGTTCCATTGATCTATGTCTCCATTTTTGTACTAGTAGCATGCTATCTTAATTACTATAGACTTATAGTATTATATAATTTGAAATCACACAATGTGATTCCTCTAGATTCGTCCTTTTTGCTTAGGATTGCTTTGGCTATTTGGGATCTATTTTGCTTCCATCTAAACATTAAGATTTTTTTTTTATAATTATGTAAGAAATAACATTGCTAAATTGATAGGCATTGCATTGAATCTGTAGATTGATTTGTGCAGTATGTTTACTTTAATGATGTTGATTCTTCCAATCCATGAGCATAGGATGGTTTTCCATTTGTTTTTGTCATGTATAATTTCTTTCATCAGTGTTTGTCATTCTTCTTGTACAGATATTTAACTATTTTGCTTAATTGTATCTCTAGGTATTTTATTTTATTTTTTGCAGCTATTTTAAATGAGATTGATTCTTGATTTGGTTCTCAGCTTGAATGTTATTGGTGTATAGAAATGCTACTGATTTTTGTACACAGATTTTGTGTCTTCAAATTTTACTGAAGTCATTTATCAAGTGGAGAGGTCTTCTGGGGGAGTCATTAGGGTTTTCTGATACACAATTATGCCATCATTTAACAGAGATAATTTGACATTTTTTTTTTTTTTTGGTCCCAATTGCAATGCCTTTTCTTTATTTTGCCTGAAGAAAGATCAGGCAAAGATCATAGCAGAACTATATAAGATCAAGACCAAATAAACAACACAAAGGATCAACTAAACAAGCAATTAGTTATTTGAGTGGATAAACAGAATTGACTGCTAGTTAAATTAACCAAGAGATAAGAGAAATTCCCAGAAGAATAATGATAAATGGTAAAAATGACATTACAAGTGACTTCCACTACTATGTTGAATAAGAATAAGAGTTGACATCCTGTCTTGTTCCAGTTCTTATGGAGATTGTTTTCAACTTTCCCTTATTCAGCATAATTTTGGTTGTTGACTTGTCATACATGGCTCTTATTATATTGAGGTATGTTTCTCAATGTTTAATTTGTTGAGGGTTTTCATCATAAAGGGGTGTTGATTTTATCAGATGAATTTTCTGCATCTCTTGAGATAATCATATGTTTTTTCTATTTTAGTTCTCTTTATGTGGTAAACCGTATTTATTGATTACCGTATGTTGAACCATCCTTACATCATTTGGATAAACCCACTGGATCATGGTGTATTGTATATTTGATGTGCTGTTGGATTTGGTTTGCTAGTATTTTGTTGAAGATTTTTGCATTAGGCACATCAAGGATATTGGCCAGTAGCTTTCTTTTACATTGTCGCCTCGCTCGATTTTGTTATCAAGATGATACCACTTTTGTTAAAAGAGAGAAGGAGGAGTCTTTCCTCCTTGATGGCTTGAAATAGTGTCAGTAAAATGAGTATTGGCTCTTCTTTGTATATCTCATGAAATTTGGCTTTGAATCTTTCTGTTCTTGGACTTTTTGTTGTTGGTAGATGTTTGTTGATGATTCAACTTTGTTAGTCATTATGGGTCTATTTAGGATTTCTGTTTTATCCTACTTCAATCTTGGGAAGTTGTCTGTTTTTCTAGAAATGCATTTTCTCTAAGCTTTCTAGATTATGCACATAAAGGTGTTCATAGTAGTCTCTTATAATCTTTTGTATTTCTGTAGTATCAGTTTTAATGTCACTTTTACCACTTCTCATTGTACTTCTTTGAATCTCTTTCTTTCCTTGGTTAATTTAACTAGCAGTCTGTCAATTTTGTTTATCCTTTCAAAGAACTAGCTGTTAATTGGTCCTTTTTGTTATTTATTTGGTCTTGATCTCATTTAGTTTTACTATAATCTTTGTTATTTTTTTTCTTCTGCTAGATTTGGGTCTGGTTTGTCCTTTTTCTAGTTGCTTGAGGTGCAAAATTTGGATGTTACTTTGAGATCATTCTTTTTGATGTAGACATTTAACACTATAAACTTTGCCTTTAGTACTTTTCTTTGTTGTATCCCAGAGCTTTTGAAATATTGTGTCTGTATTTTCAATTGCTTCAAAAACTTTCCTGATTTCTGCCTTAATTTTGTTGCTTACACAAATGTCATTCAGAAGCAAGTTGTTTAGTCCATTTACTTGTGTAGTTTTGAGAATTACTCTTGGTATTAATTTCTAATTTTATTCCACTGTGATCCAAGAAGATACTTGATATGATTTATTGTTAAAAAATTATGGAGACTTGCTGGATGGCTAAGCATATGGTCGGTTTAGGAGAATGCTCTATCCAAAGATAAAATAATGTATTTTCTGTGGTTTAGGATGAAATGTAATGTAAATACCTATTATGTCTACTTGGTCTATAGTCCAGTTTAAGTTAAGTTTCTTTGCTGATTTTCTGCTTCAGTGATCAGTCTAGTGGTGTCAATAGGGTGTTGAAGTCCTCCACTATTATTGTATAACTGTCTATCTCTATTCATAGGACCAGTAGTATTTGTTTTATGAATCAGAGTGTTCTGGTGTTGGATGCACATATATTTAGGATAGATAGTTAAACCTTGTTGCATTGAAACTTTGTTGTGAAGAAAGTTGTACTGAAAGTTTCTTGTAAGGTGATCTGGTAGTAATGAATTCCTTTCGTTTGTCTTGGAAAGACTATTTCATCTTCATTTGTGAATCTTCATTTGGCAGGATATAAAATTGTTAGCTGGTATTTTTTTTTGGAAGAGACTAAAAATAGTCTTCCAATCTCTTTTGGCTTGTAGATTTTCTGCTGAAAAGTCTTTTGTTAGTTTGATGCGATTTTCTTTATAGGTGATTAGATGCTTCTCTCTTGCTGATTTTAGGATTTTTTTTTCCACTTTGACTTTGAAAATTCTGATGACTATATGCATTAGTGAGGCTTTTCCAATTTATCTACTAGGAATTCTCTGAGCCTTTTGTATCTAGATGTCCAAATTTCTCCCAAGACAATCCAAGTGCTGCAATAAACATGCTTGTGCATGTATCTTTATAGTGGAATGATTTATATTCCTTTGGGTATATACCCAGTAATGGGATTACTTGGTCAAATGGCATTTCTGGTTCTATATCCTTGAATAATCACCATACTATCTTCCACAATGGTTGAACTAATTTACATACCCACCAAGAGTGTAAAAGCTTTCCTATTTCTCCACAGCCTCACCAGCATCTATTGTTTCTTGACTTGTTAATAATCATCACTCTGACTGGTGTGAGATGGTATCTCATTGTGGTTTTGATTTACACTATTTACAATATCAAAGACATGGAACCAACCCAAATACCCATCAATAGTAGACTGGATAAAGAAAATATGGTACATACACACCATGGAATACTATGCAGCCATAAAAAGAATGAGATCATGTCATTTGGAGGAACATGGATGATGCTGGAAGCCATCATCCTCAGCAAACTAACAAAGGAACAAAAAACCAAACACTGGATATTCTCACTCATAAGTGGGAATTGAACAATGAGAACACATGGACACACGAAGGGGAAAAAAACACACCGGGGCCAGTCGGGGGGTGGCGGCTGAGGTGAGGGAGAGCATTAGGACAAATAGCTAATGCATGTGGGGCTTAAAACCTAGATAACAGGTTGATAAGTGCAGCAAATCACCATGGCACACATATATCTGTGTAACCACCTACACATTCTGCACTCGTATCCCAGAACTTAAAGTAAAATTTAAAAAAAAAAGGAAATAATAAAAATAGCTACCATTTGCACAAAAAAGACAATCCCATGGGAGTTTTGCTGAATTATTTCTTCATTTTCCTTACATTTTACTTTTTCTTCATCTTCCTCTGGAATACTTACAGTTTGTAGGTTTGGACACTACATAATCCTATGTTTCTCAAAGGCTTTGTTAAGTTTTTAAAAAAACTCTTTGTTAATTTTTATCTTACTGGATTAATTGAAAAGATCTGTCTTCCAGCTCTGAAGTTATTTCTTCCAGTTGGTATAGCCTACTGTTAAAACTTTCAACTGTATTTTGTAATTATTTTAATGAATTTTTTATTTCTAGAAATTCTGTTTGTTTTTTAATGATATCTACCCTTTTTTAATATTCTGAATTGTTCTTCTGATTTCTTTGTGTTTTTTTCAGCTTTGTCTTGGATTTCATTGAGCTTCTTTAAAATCAATATTTTTAATTTTTCATGGGGTATTTCAAAGATTTCATTTAGTTTAGATTCATTGGTAAAGAATCAGTGTGGACCGGGTGCAGTGGCTCATGCCTGTAATCCTAGCACTTTGGGAGACTGAGGCGGGTGGATCAGGACGTCAGGAGTTCAAGACCAGCCTGGCCAACATAGTGAAACCCCGTCTCTACTAAAAATACAAAAATTAGCTGGACATGGTGGTGCATGCCTGTAGTGCCAGCTACTTGGGAGGCTGAGGCAGGAGAATCGAATTGCTTGAACCCAGGAGGTGGAGGTTGCAGTGAGCCGAGATTGTACCACTGCATTCCAGCTTGGGCAACAGAGTGAGACTTCATCTCAAAAGAAAAAAAAAAAAAAAAAAAAGAATCAGTGTGATCTTTCGAAGTGTTGTGGCACTCTGTTTTTCATACTTTCATAGTTGTTTCTCTGGTTCTTTATCATCTAGATAAGCTATCTCTCCTTATTTTTTGAATTTGTTTTAATTTGGATGGAATTTTTCTCCTTCAGGAGGTGTCTATAATGTATGATTTGTAGGGTCCTTCTGGCTTTGGTTCTGGGTGCTTTCAGGGCTAAAGAGTCTGTATAAGTTCTTTGGTTACATATAGCCTTTGTATGATGGCTTTCCTGAATGTTATTTTTAGTAGCAATGCACTGTGCATGTGAGCAGGCTCAATGCTTCCTATTGGACTGGAATCATGGAGATCTCAGGAAGCCTATCTCATTCCCCACTGCTGTTGACTTGTCTGTTGACTTGTGTCAGCTCATTTTCTTTTTATTATTATTATTATTATACTTCAAGTTTTAGGGTACATGTGCACAATGTGCAGGTTAGTTACCTATGTATACATGTGACATGCTGGTGCGCTGCACCCACTAACTCGTCACCTAGCATTAGGTATATCTCCCAATGCTATCCCTCCCCTCTCCCCGCACCCCACAACAGTCCCCAGAGTGTGATGTTCACCCTCCTGTGTCCACGTGTTCCCATTGTTCAATTCCCATCTATGAGTGAGACTGTGCGGTGTTTGGTTTTTTGTCCTTGTGATATTTTACTGAGAATGATGATTTCCAATTTCATCCGTGTCCCTACAAAGGACATGAACTCATCATTTTTTATGGCTGCATAGTATTCCATGGTGTATATGTGCCACATTTTCTTAATCCAGTTTATCATTGTTGGACATTTGGGTTGGTTCCAAGTCTTCGCTATTATGAATAGTGCCGCAGTAAACATACGTGTGCATGTGTCTTTATAGCAGCATGATTTATGGTCCTTTGGGTATATACCCAGTAATGGGATGGCTGGGTCAAATGGTATTTCCAGTTCTAGATCCCTGAGGAATCGCCACACTGACTTCCACAATGGTTGAACTAGTTTACAGTCCCACCAACAGTGTAAAAGTGTTCCTATTTCTCCACATCCTCTCCAGCACCTGTTGTTTCCTGACTTTTTAATGATTGCCATTCTAACTGGTGTGAGATGATATCTCATTGTGGTTTTGATTTGCATTTCTCTGATGGCCAGTGATGGTGAGCATTTTTTCATGCGTTTTTTGGCTGCATAAATATCTTCTTTTGGGAAGTGTCTGTTCATGTCCTTTGCCCACTTTTTGATGGGGTTGTTTGTTTTTTTCTTGTAAATTTGTTTGAGTTCATTGTAGATTCTGGATATTAGCCCTTTGTCAGATGAGTAGGTTGCGAAAATTTTCTCCCATTTTGTAGGTTGCCTGTTCACTCTGATGGTAGTTTCTTTTGCTGTGCAGAAGCTCTTTAGTTTAATTAGATCCCATTTGTCAATTTTGTCTTTTGTTGCCATTGCTTTTGGTGTTTTGGACATGAAGTCCTTGCCCATGCCTATGTCCTGAATGGTAATGCCTAGGTTTTCTTCTAGGGTTTTTATGGTTTTAGGTCTAACATTTAAGTCTTTAATCCATCTTGAATTAATTTTTGTATAAGGTGTAAGGAAGGGATCCAGTTTCAGCTTTCTACATATAGCTAGCCAGTTTTCCCAGCACCATTTTTTAAATAGGGAATCCTTTCCCCATTGCTTGTTCTTCTCAGGTTTGTCAAAGATCAGATAGTTGTAGATATGCGGCCTTATTTCTGAGGGCTCTGTTCTGTTCCATTGATTTATATCTCTGTTTTGGTACCAGTACCATGCTGTTTTGGTTACTGTAGCCTTGTAGTATAGTTTGAAGTCAGGTAGCGTGATGCCTCCAGCTTTGTTCTTTTGGCTTAGGATTGACTTGGTGATGCGGGCTCTTTTTTGGTTCCATATGAACTTTAAAGTAGTTTTTTCCAGTTCTGTGAAGAAAGTCATTGGTAGCTTGATGGGGATGGCATTGAATCTATGATTTACCTTGGGTGGTATGGCCATTTTCACTCAGCCCAAAATCTCCTTAAGCTGATAAGCAACTTCAGCAAAGTCTCAGGATACAAAATCAATGTACAAAAATCACAAGCATTCTTATATATCAATAACAGACAAACAGAGAGCCAAATCATGAGTGAACTCCCATTCACAATTGCTTCAAAGAGAATAAAATAGCTAGGAATCCACCTTACAAGGGACGCGAAGGACCTCTTCAAGGAGAACTACAAACCACTGCTCAATGAAATTAAAGAGGATACAAACAAATGGAAGAACATTCCATGCTCATGGATAGGAAGAATCAATATCATTTTCTATTGTGTTTTGCATTTCAAACTCTAGGCCAGTAGGTGTCACTTATGGGTATGAGCCACCTGTGGTCAAAATAGGTGGGTATATACCTAATCCTTTTTTAATGGGAGAAGCTCTCTGTTGCCTCAGACCATGGGTTGATCTGTGGAATGCACAGTGGTATCACCTTCCTCCTTAGGAAAGATCCAAGATGTGTGGGACCAGACTGAGCAGGCCCACCCACAGGTTTCCCAATGGCATGCACATGCATCAGCTTTGAAAAGGGTCCCAGTGGGCAGCCTGTGAGAACCAGGAGATGTGCCTAGGCATGAATTCTAGAAACTTCTGCTGCCTCAGGTTCTCTGCATGGGAAGAGTGAGGTGGCCTAAATCATAACCTAGAAGAGTGAGTGCTCCAAATTCCAGAGATATGTCTGGGCATCAAGAAGAGAGAGCACCAATGTACCACAATCTCTGCACCTGAAGGGAGGGGCAGCACAGATTCCTAAGCCAAGAGAATGTGTGTGTCAAATGCCTGCAAATATACCCTGGCCAAAAGCAGAGAAACTGCTGCTGTAATAAGGTCTTTGCATGGGAAGGGATGAATGGCTCAAACTACTAATCTGTGGACGTGTGTGTGCCAAATGACTGGAGGTATGTCTGAGTGTGACGTGGAGGGAGTGCTGCTGTACTAAATTGTCTGTGTGGGAAAAGAATGGCAACTGAAGCTCCTATCCCAGGAGATATGGTGCATCAAAAGCCTGGAGATATGTCTGGCCATGAAAGAAAATGTTCCACTGCACCCATATCGTTTTACCAGCCAAACGCCATCAGGGGGTGGCTTGCCCACTATCTTCTCCCTTGGATCTGGAGTGTCCTTTGTTATTCTGGTGAATTCCCACTTTCCTTCGTGAATTAAAGCTCACAGTGTCAATCTTTATGCACTGTTTTGCTATTTCCGAGTGGCTGAGGCATGCTAACAGCCTCTAACCCGCCATTTTGACTGTTTCTGCAACAAGTGCATGGGCGATTTAACAAGACCAATCTACACTTGGGGGAATAAGATGGAGGGTGAGCAGAATCAATCTGCCTATGCCTCCACCTTCCCTTAAGGAAATTTATTTTCCATATTGGTAATTTCTTAATGGATAGAAAAATCAAACTCTATTCAAATAATTTCTATATAGTCAGTTACCTTGCATAAGGAAAATTATTTTAAGTCTAAACCGAGCATTGCACTTGAAATATAGTGGTGAACTAAAACAGATATATTTACTGCATTTGTGGAACTCACTATAGTTTACTCTTGGAGAAAAAAAAATGAGTATCAGCAATCTCAATATTTCTCTTGGCAAACAAATATGTGCTTAATAATTTCTATTAGCTTAATCATGAAAACAGTTGGTTTTAAACTTTTTAAGAATACACTTTCTACCCCAAAACTGAATGTAAATAAATTTACCACACAACATGATGTTAAAATTTTTCACACTTGAATATATTTGTTTATACCACAAAGATAGAAGTTATAAAAATTATAACATTAAGTGAATAGAATACATGAAGATTTAAAAAGTTTTATTTTTGACCTCAAAAGGTTATAGTTTGGGAATAAAAACAGGAGTCCTGTGAAGTTTGAAAATATATCAAATGGATGGTCTTGAATGTTAAATCTATTAGCCATGGGCTTGAAGAACTTAACTTCCCAAACCTCAAGACCAGTTAATGAAGCCAATTCACTATGACTCTAAAAGATATCCTAAGATATGTAAGAAGCCTATAAGATGACTTTTATTATGTACTTTAGAAAAATTGAATCAAATGGATCTTTTTGAAAGTTATGATTCCTATATTGGAATTAGATTATACTGCTATTAATTGAATGTTTAAGGCCTTTTTACAAAACAGTTTTGTTGAATCCTAATGAGGATAAAGAGTGAAGCTTAAACTGTACATATGTGTTTGAAGTTTACATGTATGAACCTATACATTGCGACTGGACACAAATACAATCTGAATACGTGCTGTAAGTTCTATTATTTCATATTACCTATCAGTCTCTCTTCTCATCTCTACACTGCTGAAAAAGGCTAACTTTTAGTTGCGACTGGTGGAGCTGTTTAGAGACACCAGTGATGTTTGCGATAGACAGTTCACTTCACAGGATATCTGACACCTTTCTCAAAAAGAGATCTCCTTCTCTGATTACAGTTCAGTGTCCCACTTTAGTCTGTCTGACATTGTTCTTTCTAAGTCCTGTATAACTGTGAAGTTGTGAAAGAAAATATAACCGAAGAATAAAGGGGCTGCTACGTGGCCAGTGTTTCTGATGTGAAAACTGAGTCTCACAGAGGTGAAGTAGCATCAGTCAGAGACACTTTCAACTTCAAAGCCTTGATTCTGTTCATCACAATCTATTGGTTCATTGATAAACATAAGACACAGAATTAATGTGAGCCATTTGGTTCTTCTGTGAAAGCAAAATAAAATATTACTTCAATGTTTATCAAGGGAAAAGTCAAAATGGAGTTTGTGGTGAAAGGATTTAACCTTTTTGATAAAACATGTTTTGCCTTTTCAGGTCTAGGGAAAGAAATTCAGTAAATTTAGAAAACGCAATTTTCAAATTTTAAATAAATAAGATACCTGTAAAATGTAATACAACCTTACAGGCATATGGCCAGATATATTAAAATGTTCTTAGAGCTTTGTCAGGAAATATTTAAGTGTTTCGTCATGAAGATTTTAGACATATTGATTATTTGCCCAGACACTGATTATACAGATGAATGGAAATATATCCAGAATTCTAAAATCTTCCATGATCTGTGGAATACTGACTACTTAATCAATTCGGAATTTATTTAAACTGTTACTTCTTAAACGTTTTAAAAAGCCAGAACAACACTAATTAGCATAAAGCTGCAATTTGAACAACACTACGGTGCTACTATGAAAGGTAGAATATTGTTCTCCAACCTGTACAAGTTTTATTTACCTAAATATATTCCTCTCGTGCGTCTGTTCACAGTATTAAGTTGTACAATGACTCATGTAAGGAGTTTTGAAATTTAATTTTGTTGAAGAATATTTTCTTTAATGTGGACTATTAAATGTAAAAAAACTTGAAATCAGGCCCTGTGTGTGTATGTGTGTGTGTATGTGTGTGTGTGTGTGTTTTAACTTCATTCAGTTACAAACAGCCACATCTATGAACACATGCCAAATTGAATGAATTCTATGAAATAAAGTCTAAAGAAATAACTGTTCTAGATTTATGCCAAGGCATTGAAGGAATGTTCACACTTACCTGCTTTTGCAGCTAGTGATTTATGATGCCCATTACCTATGGCATAAAGAGATAATCTTTTAAAAATTTGAGGTAGAAATTAAAAGCTATCTTCGTAATTTTCATCTGTGCCAACGTTTTCTATCATACATCTCTTACAGGTCTATTTAAAACATGGAATACTAAAATCTGTTTTACTGCATAGTGAAGTTCAAAGTTTATCCAAACTATCCATCTGTTTAAAATTATTATGATAATTAAAATTTAGGACATGAATCTTGCTATAACTCATAAGATGATTAATTCTTTCTAGTGTTTCAGTTTAAACTGGTACCAATCTTCAACCCAGTTGGTTAGCTCTTCTCATCATCTTAGGGGGTGCTAAATGTAGCCTCCAATTCTAGTTTAGAATGTTATTTTCCGTGGCTATATGAACTAAATTACTGCCCCCTTAGTTTTGTACACCCAAAGCCCCAACTACACTTTTTCCAGCTGGAGAACAGGGTGCACCCATCAACCTATAATTCCATTATTTGCATTGACATCTGAGTTCTTTCTAACCTCTGCTATAAATATGAGACATTTTCTATAGCACTCAAACTTTTTCAAAACTCTCCTTATCACAATCCTGCTTCAAATGACATGTTCTTTTCATCATTGTCTCTTCCATCAGTGTAGTATTTCTTCATATGTCTCTTCTACTGCTTGTTGTGTCTTAGCTGTTATGATTTTTTAAATCTCTTTTAAAATTTAGCAATATAAATTAATGCTTAAAACAATGAATTTCGAAATGCTTTGTTTGAACTTGGAGAACAGATTATTTCTTTTAGCCTAACTACCCAATGATGTTTTCTGCTTTTTTAAATATTCATTTTTCTACTGACAATAGATTTTCTTTGTCTCTCCCTTTTTGAAACTTTGAAGATTAAGTAAAGGAAAAGAATTGATAATTAAATTGTACCTTGTAAAGGGAAAAAGTAATTTCTATACTCTTTACATTCAAATTTAGGAGTGCCTCAGGGAACAAATTACACTACTACGTATATACGAGAAATACCTGTAAGTATTTCAGAATTTAAGGATGTGTAATATTCATTTGTATAATCAAAGGCAGAAAACTCAGAAGCAATTAAACATTATACAAATCTCAATACAATTACTTATGACATATCTGGAAGTTAATCCATGATAATTATAGAAATAGAAGATATTATACATTGCAAAATGGTTTAATACAGGTTTGCTTAGTCCCACTACTTAAGGATTATAATTTTAAAATCTGAGTAAACTCTACAGCATTGTTCAAGACATTAGAAGTAAGGTTTAAAAAAATAATAACTTTTATTAGTTTTTCAAATTAAGGTTGAATGAATAAACTCCTGTATATTTTCAACTGGGCTTTCTTTTGAGGAATTTATCGACATTTTTGGACATTTATAGTCAGAAAAATATACTCATAAATTATGGATATTATAAAGGTGATTATTTTTAATAAAATGTTGGAAAATAGAATGAACTTTAAGGTCTATACCTACTCAGAATTCTATGATTCCTTAGTTTTCATCCATGTGATACATGAGCAGATTTGATTTTGTACGTTGTCCTTATTGTTTTGCCCTAGGAATGGATATCTATGGCATGAAAAAACTCATAGTGACAATATACTCCCTATAAATCAAGAAGTCCTCTTATTTTCAAGTGTTGTATGTTCATGTTTGTCAGATTAAATATATGAAAGATGTCACTAGACCTAGTCACATTATCAGCATTCAAAAGATATGTTATCAACACTTCCTTAATGCTGTTTTACTGATATGTTGCAATGACTTGAAGTATCAGAGGAAAGATATCATTTTTGTTTGAAACGTTAAATGATAGATTATCTCAATGGTACACACAGCTATTCAATGAAACTCTTCTGAGTATTTGTTCAGGTCTATTAAGTATGTGAATAGCCTGAGTTGTGACAGCAAGCAGCCTCTTACCCTTTTAGCAGATGTAATTACCACATGGCAAGGGAAGTGACCATTAAATAAACCTAAAACATTGCTAAATAGAGTGTTGCCATGCTGTCAAGTACTGAAATTGTAGTCCCTTATATACAGGTGATCATATATACTGGTTTTCCCAAAGCAATCCGGTTTATGCCTGCTGCATTATTATTAACAATACCGCTCTCACCCTCAAAAGTATTCTGGTTTGAACCATAAATTACTGCATATGGCCATCTTCCTTCCAGGAATAAAATTTGAGTAAAAATAATTAGGTGGTAGACCCAGAAACCTCCCAAAAAGTTGAGTCATCAAGTAAAAAAGAGGTATTAGAAGACTACAACTTTTCACTCTATGTATTTTTTATTGTTCATTTTTTCCTGCTAAAATAAATTAATTCCTCATTTTTTTCTAGATGAAGTATTTCTTGCAACAGCAATTAGGAAAACATTTCTGTTCTGTCTCTTCTACTTTGTGCAAAGGGTGGGAGCAAAAGCTAAAAATGAAGTATAATTCAAAATCCTTTTGACACAGGCTGAAATCTAGACTGTGGTCATTATAGAGGTGTTTATTTTCTGCAGCAGCCAGTAGAAAATAAATAGGCTAATAATAACATAATATACTGCTATTCTAAAACTGTGTGGTGGGCAACATAGTCTTGAGAGAGAAATGCTTCGCTCAGAAATTTAACCTACAGTAAAAATCTAATCAGTATTATTAAACAATATTAAACTAAATATGATTAATTTTGAAACTAACAATATCCTTCACAATACTTTTCCAGCACTATTTATTGATTTCTCAGTGTTTGTAAAACCCTTAGATACAAGCTTTTGTCACTAGGAAAACTGATGTTTCATTTACCAATTTTGTAAAGAATCATTGCATGATCGTCCACTTGAGTGGGACTGATTGCATTGATCTGAATGAATACAATTAGAGGAAGAAGGATTACTCAAACGTTTGCTTGGTAGGATCACGTCAGTAGCATTGTGAATTGCTACATTTATGCAGGACACATTTAAATGTGTATATAGATGCAGATTTATATTTTTATTTAAGTATATATGCAGGACACATCTAAATATGTAATATATACATATTTATTACATGTCTAGTACATATTTATTACATATATTACATATAAATATGTAATATATATATACATAAAGGTGTTAAAAAACACTTACACACATATACACATTCATATACATTATCCTAGTCAATTGCATGAGTGGAAAATTCCTAAAAATCTGGTTAAAGTAAAACCATAAGTTCAGCAATCTTTCATTCTGTGTTTATTGACTCATTCAATGTAAGCCTTATTTTATATACATATTAAGATATGTCCTGCACATATATTTATGAATATATATATTTTAGATATGTCCTGCATAAATAATATATATATACACACACACACACATTACTCCCATAACTATACATTAATATGTATTAGAATTGTTTTAAAGTGATTTTATATATATATATATATGTATATATATATATATATGAATTATTTGTAATTGCTAAGACTTGTGTGTTTCCTTGTTTCCTTGTGCCAGGCATATACTAAAGACCCCCTGTCATTTGATCCTCACAACAACAATGGAAGTAGATATTATTACAATTGTTATTGATATTATTATCCTCATATTCATTTACAGAAAATAAAACTGAGGCTTAAATAGATTGTGCAGTATAACTTTTGAAGGAAATGTGTATTTCTTCATTAATGTATAATAATGTATGGAGTAGGTGTATTTCCTTCTCTCTTCAATCAATCCAAGAATAAGTGGAGAATCTTGGAACCGATCATAGTATTCTTTACTTACGTATAAAATTCTGTTTCTATACGATGTGATTAAGTTTCAAATACTAAAAAGAATGCATTTGCAAAGATCTTGTTTCAGTGCTTGAGCAACTGATTTCTTATCAGAGGGAGGTGTAAGTTCCATATAGTAATGAATTGTTTGGTTTTCTCTTCTTTTTCTTTGGAATGAAAGAAGATAATCAGTGGTGGTAAGAATTTAAAGCAAATATCCACGGTCAGGTTTTGATAGTCAATCTTGAATTATTCTTCCCTAAAACTAAGGCACTCACTTTACAACATGATGTCTAACTCAAGCGATAAAAATTGTAAAACTCCTCTGAGAAAATAATGAAAACAAATGTTTGCTTCTGATATTTTGTTTCCTTTTTTTCAGAGATCATTAGAGCTATTATTGCTCGTTATCTGAGGGAACAGTTATGAAAATCTATTTAAGCATGCCAAGAATAAAGATGACCACACGCACGCGCGCGCACACACACACACACACACACACGTTATTCTGGCCTGCATTGGGGTGATTCTGACAGCCTTAAGGTTGCACAATTAGGAGTCAGATATTTGAAATAGTTCAGTTTAGGCCTAAGAGGAGGCCAACACTATAGATTAAGTAAAATAAAAGCTGAGAAATAATCTAGATACTCAGGTAAAATCCTGACTATAAAGAGAGAAAACAAAGAGAAACAGTAAAACCATGTAACTGCAAAATTCACATGGCTGCTGTAATAGAATGTCAGATCTAATGTCCGATCTATGTAATATAATGTCTAATCAAAAATTTTCTTCATTTTCTATATATCTACATAGATGGAATTTTTGCCATTCAATACATTATATGTTTTATCATCTGGATAAAAAATATTCAACTCTGTAAGATTCAGCATATTTGTCACAGTCCAACTTGGGTTAGTCTATTTTACTTGATGCAAATATAATACCAAATATGAGCCATGACCTTTTGCTTTTTATCTTGCACTCTTGAAATTCACCATCCGCAATGTTGCCATAGTGATTTATCCACAAGAAAAAACTGGCCTTATTCCACTTCTATTTAGCAAGTCTCTGGCTCTATTGTGATTATCCATATGGCATACAACATGTCCTCTGTGTCGTGGTCTTGGCCTGCTTCTACAGCCTTTTCCACTAATATGCATAACTTGATGTTTATGTTACAATTATATAGAATATAGTTCCTACAACATATGCATGTTATTTTATAATTGCATATATTTTCTCATGCTTTTCCTGTTGCTAAAACATGATAAACTCTGACTTATTTACTTACTTAACTCATTACCTGCATTTAAAGATTATGTTAGAAATTATGCCATCCCAAAAGTGATGACCAATCTAGTGATTGGGGCTAAGCAGTCCTGCTCTGAGTTTATATCATGTCCTTTATTCCCCTTCTTAAAATGATCTCTTTATGGGTTTCTTTATTCTTTTAGGTTTCTATGTATTTGATGAAACAGCCAGCATGTGGTTTTTTTTATCTTTGTATACTCAACCCTAAGCATTATGTCTGGTAAACATGTAATGTGTGTTTGTTGAAATGAAATAGCCAGTTTTTCATGAAGTGAGAATCACAGAATACTGTCCCAAAACAGTTTTGGTACTGGTGAAAGACCTTGTATTATTTTGAAATAAATGCAGGCTTCAAAAAGTCAGATAGGCTGTGTATTTTCAGGAATCTTAAATCTACATGCTGCTTTATTTTTACTATTTTAATTATTTTATTATTTGTGTATTTATTTAGTCTCCATTTGTTATTTTTGTAACTTCTGAGAATAAAGTCTTGGTAGCTGTTGCAAATGGCAAACTGGACAGAAGTAGTTGTTTCAAATTTCAAGTTTCTATACCAGCAAGTTACTTCCAATGGAAAATATATCAAAATATGATTTATTTAGACTCCTTTCCTCTCAATTTTATATGGACCTGGGCAAGAACAGTGGTATCTATAGTACTAAGTTACTGTTGCATGATGTACTACTCATTTTTCCTAAGAAACTTTACTGTCCCTGGAGTTTGCAACAAATTTTGTCAGTTGAGTCTTACTTAATTTCTCTGACCCTTCTTTGGGGCTGATCAGGCAAGCCTACCACCTCAATTTACTCTAGGTTCTGTAGCTTAGGTAAGTAGTCCATGGTCCAGTTTCATTTATTACCTATAGAGGTCAGCCTCTAGGAGTATACCAAGTACAGCTA
Organism: Homo sapiens; assembly: GCF_000001405.40. NCBI lineage: Eukaryota > Metazoa > Chordata > Mammalia > Primates > Hominidae > Homo > Homo sapiens. The sequence goes on along the minus strand of NC_000010.11, from coordinate 54,707,071 downwards.
CAGTGTTCCACATCTCTTACTATTAACATGTGTAAACCCTATTAGAATTATATTAGAGAAGTAGGTCTGTATAACATCATGAAGATTGCTTCTATGTTCTCAACAGGATTTCCTGCATCTTATTTTCTAAGATTTAAAATGTGTCTTTCTGGCTGGGCGCCATGGCTCATGCCTGTAATCCCAGCACTTTGGGAGGCCAAGGTGGGAAGATCACTAAGGTCAGGAGTGTGAGACCAGCTTGGCCCACATGGTGAAACCCGTCTCTAGTAAAAATACAAAAAATAGCCGGGCATGGTGGCATGCACTGGTAGTCCCAGCTACTCAGGAGGTTGAGGCACGAGGATCGTTTGAACCTGGGAGGCGGACGTTGCAATGAGCCGAGATCGCGCCACTGCACTACAGCCTGGGCAACAGAGCGAGACACCGTATTGAAAAAATAAATTAAAATATGTCTTCCTCGCCCCCATTTCCTGTGGTTAAGTCTTCAAATACCTACATATCCTATTCTCCAGGTATGGTAGGTGTAAAACTTAAAGTAGGAAACATGGAAATAATTCTAAAAATTTATATTACTATCCCATACCATCTAAGGAATTTTATCTACTAGGATAATCTCTGCATGTCATATTTCTTCAAGTTTTCAATGCAATTTAAATTCTTATAGGCCTATTAGCCCTATAATTGACTAAATAACATGAAACCCAATACACTCATTTTTACTTTATATTTGATTTCTAACAGTACTTTTCTAGGGTTGAGTTATAGCTAAAAGTGGGGATGGTAAGTTGTGTATTGACTTGGAAGTTAGAAAGATCAGTTTGTTTTCTATATTAAAGATAATTTAAATGTACATATTTCAGCCATACTATCATGAAAACTATTTGGAATATCAAATGCATTTTATTTTAATGGAGTTCCTTGTAATCAGCATTACTCTGGAGGTGATGAATGTGATTAAAATACTCTGCTAAGGCAGACAACCATTCATATTTAGTTGGATGAGACTCAGCTTTATACATCTGAGCATTCAAAATATCTGGCTCACTGTTAAGAGTAATTATGCTGTTTACCTCTCAATATGCTCTTCTCTTTTTAAGATGCCTAATCTCCACTCTCTGAGAAAGAGAAATGGCAAGTTTCACTGTACCGTTGATACCACATCTATCAATACTGTTCAGAAATTTTTGAAAAAAATCCATCATCAGATACCTGTCTATAATCACCTATAATTTGAGTAAAACTATCAGACTTATGCAGTAGTGAATGATAGAATCAAAATGTGAATCCATGCCACCTGACCAAGAGCCAGTAAATATTAAGTAATATTTGAGAAAGTAAATATTCTTCAAATCAGATAAAGCTTAAAATGTTCATGATAATCTATTATAGTCAAATCACTGTTCTAGAAGAAAATGGTCTCTATGCACTTTTTGTAGAACAACTCATGGTATGGATAATAGTGGTGCTATGGTCACTTATGTCATAAACAAATTCAAAAGGTTGTAAAAACTGATTATAGATCAAGAAGTACAACCTATGAAATATTACGCTTAAAATATTTTATATGTGATGAAATTGAGGTTTGGGGAGATGAGATAAACTGCACAAAATTGCATATCTAACAAGTGATGGAGCCATAATTTGAACCCAGGCATTCTAACTATTCTTTCAATTATATTAATTATATCTCTACCACATTCAAATGACAGTTCTGGAAATAACTGATATGGATTAATCTTAGCATGTATTTTTTTTAATTATTTTAGGTTCATAGGTACACATGCAGGTTTGTTATATAAGTAAATTAGGTGTCATGGGGGTGCAATGTACAGATTATTTCATACCCAAGGTAATAATTATAGTAGCTGATAAGTAGTTTTTCAATCCTTACCCTAAACTCTCAAGTAGGCATCAGTGTCTCTGAATCCCTTATTTGTGTCCATGAGTACTCAAAGTTTAGCTCCTACTTATAAGTGAGAACATGCAGTGTTTGGTTTTCTGTTCCTTCATTAGTTCACTTAGAACAATGACATTCATCAATGTTGTTGCAAAGGACATAATCTTGTTCTGTTTTTATGGCTGTGTAATATGACATGCTGCATAAGTGCTGCATTTTCTTTATCCAGTCCACTACTGATGGGCATTTTGATTGATTCCATGTCTTTGATATTGTGAATAGTGCTACAATGAACATACTCATGCATGTGCCTTTATGGTAGAATGATTTATATTTCTTTGGGAATGTGCTCAATTAATGGGATTGTTGAACCAAATGGTAGTTCTGTTTTAAGTTTTTTGAGAAATCTCCAAACTGCTTTCCACAATGGCTTAATCAACTTACATTCCCACCAGCAAGGTATAAGTGTTCCTTTTCTTTGCAACCATGCAGGCATCTGTTATTTTGACTTTTTAATAATAACCATTCTGATTGATGTAAGATGGTATCTCATTGTGATTTTTATTCACATTTCTCTAATAATTAGTGATAATGAGCGTTTTTCACATGCTTGTTAGCTGCATGTATGTCTTCTTTCTGAAAGTGTCTCTGCATGTCTTTTGCCCAGTTTTTAATGGGTTGTTTATTTGTGTGGTTTTTGTTTGTTTGTTTTGCTTCTTAATTTAAGTTCCTTAGAAATTCCGGATATTAGACCTTTGTCAGAGGCACAATTTGCAAATATTCTCTCCCATTCTGTAGGTTTACACTATCAAAGTCTGTTTACACTTGATAGTTTCATGTACTATGCAGAAGTTCAAACTATCAAAGTCTGTTTACACTTGATAGTTTCATGTACTATGCAGAAGTTCTTTAGTTAAATTATGTCCCGGTTGTCAATTTTTGTTTTGGTTGCAATTGCTTTTGGCATCTTCATTGTAAAATTTTGCCTATGTCCAGAATGGTATTTCTTGGGTTATCTTCTAGGGTTTCTAAAGTTTTGAGTTTTATATTGAAGTATTTAATTCATCTTGAGTTGATTTTTGTATGTGGTGAATAGAATGAGTCCAATTTCAATCTTCTGCACATGGCTAGCCAGTTACCCCAGCTCCATTTGTTGAACACTGAATTGTTTCACCATTGCTTGTTTGTCAATTTTGTCTAAGAGCAGATGGTTGTAGGGGTGTGTGGCTTTATTTCTGGGTTGTCTATTCTGTCCCATTGGTCTATGTGTCTGCTTTTTTACCAATACCATGCTGTTTTGGTTATTGCAGCCTTACACTGTAGTTTGAAGTTAGGTAATGTGATGCCTCCAGCTTTGTTCTTTTAAATTGCTTTGGGAAGTATTGCACTTTTTACAGTATTGATTCTTGCTATATATGAGTATGGAATGTTTTTCCCGTTATGTTATTTCTGATTTATTTCCTCAATGTTTTGTAATTCTCATTATAGGTACCTTTTGCCTCCCTGGTTAACTATATTTTTAGGTATTTTACGTTTTTGTGACTATTGTGAAAGCAATTACCTTCTTGATTTGGCTCTCATCTTGGATGTTGTTAGTGTATAGAAATGCTACTGATTTTTGTACATTGATTTTGTATTCTAAAACTTTTCTGAATTTGTTTATCAGATCTAGGTGCTTTTGGGCAGAGACTATGGGGTTTCCTACATATAGAATCATATAATCTGCACATAGAGACAGTTTGACTTCCTCTCTTCCTATTTGTATATTTTTATTTTTTTTCCCTTGCCTTATTGCTCTGGCTAGGACTTGAAGTACTATGTTAAATAGGAATGGTAGGAGTGGGCATTCTTTTCTTCCTCTGGTTCTCAGCAGGGGACACTTCCTGCTTTTGCTCATTCAGTATGATATTTCCGGTGGGTTTGTCATAGACGGCTCTTACTATTTTGTGGTATGTTTACTCAATGCCTTATTTGGTGGAGGTTTTTAACCTCAAGGGCTGCTGAATTTTATCAACAGACTTTTCTGCATCTATTGAGATGATCATGTGGATTTGTTGTGAATTATGTTGATGTGGTGAATCATATTTACTAACTTTGCATATGTTGAACCAACCTTGCATCACAGGGATAAAGCCTACTTGATCATGGTGAATGAGCTTTTAGAATGCTGCTGGATTTGGTTTGCTAGTTTTTGTTTGTTTGTTTGTTTCTGAGGATTTTTGGATTTATGTCCATCAAGAATACTGGCTTGAAGTTTTCTTTTGTTGTTATTGTTGTTGTGTTCTGCCAGGTTTTGATATCAGAATGATGCATGACTCATAGAATCAGTGAGGAGGAGTTGCTCCTTCTCAATGTTTTTGGAATAGTTTCAGCAGAAATGATGCAGCTCTTCTTTATACATCTGGTAGAATTCAGCTGTGGATATATCTGGTCCAAGCCTTTTGCTGGTTGGTAGGCGTTGTATTACTTATTTAATTTTGGAACTCATTATTTCTCTGTTCAGGGTTGCAATTTCTTCCTAGTTCAATCTTGCAAGGTTGTATTTCCAGGAATTTATCAGTTTTTCTAGGTTTTCTAGTTTGTGTGCATAGACATGTTTGTAATATTACTTGAAGGTTTTTTTTTTTTTTTGTATTTCTGTGGAATTGGAAGTAATGTCCCCTTTGTCATTTCTGATTGTGGATATTCAGACCTTTATTTTTCAGTAGCCTACTTATCAATCTTATTTATTTTTTCAAAGAAACAACCACTAAATTTGTTGATCTTTTGTATGGTTTTCAGGTCTTAATTTATTTCATTCAGTTCAGATCTGACTCTGGTTTTTTGTTGTCTTCTGCTAGCTTTAGGGTTTGTTTATTTTTGTTTAACACTGCTTTAGCTGTGTCCTAGAGATTCTGATGTGTTGTATCTTTGTTATTCATTTCAAATAATTCCTTGATTTCTGCCTTAATCTCATTGTTTACCCACATTGTAATCCAGGAGTAGCTTTTTTCATTTTGATGTATTTGTATGATTTTGAGTGATCTTCTTAGTATTGATTTACATTTTTATTGTGCTGTGGTCTGACAGTGCAGTTGGTATGATTTCAATTTTGTTGCATATGCTGAGGATTGTCTTATGGGTGATTGTGTGGTTGATTATATAGTATGTGTCATGTACAGATGAGAAGAATGTATATTATGTTGTTTTTTGGTGGAAAGTTCTGTCTATGTCTGTTAGGTCCATTTGGCTAAGTGTCAAGTTCAGGTTCCAAATATATTTGTTAATTTTCTGCCTTGATTATCTGTCTAATACTGTCAGTGGGCTGTTGGAAGTCTCCCACTACTGGTGTGTGGTTATCTAAGTCTCTTTGTAGGTCTCTAAGAGCTTGTTTTATAAATCTGGATGCCCCTGTGTTGGGCATGTATATATTTAGGATAGCTGGGATTTCTTGTTGAATTGAAACTTTTACAATTATGTAATGCTCTTCTTTGTCTTTTTAATTGCTTGTGTGTTTAAACTCTGTTTTTTCTTAAATTAAAATAGCAACCCATGCTTTTTTCTCTTTTCTGTTTGTCTGATTGATTTTTCTCCATCCCTTTAATTTGAGATTCTGTGTGTCATTGCTTGTGAAATAGTTCTCTTGAAGACAGCATACAGTTGGGTCTTTCTTCTTTATTCAGCATGCCACTCTATGCCTTTTAATTAGGTTATTTAGCTCATTTACATTCAAGGTTAATACTGATATGTGCAGATATGATCCTTTAATCATGTTTTTAGCTGGCCATTATGCAGACTTGATTGTGTAGTTGCTTTAGAATGTCGATTTATGTACTAAAGTGTGTTTTTATAATGTCTTGTAACAGTCTTTCCTTTCCATATTTAACACTCCTTTAAGGACCTCTTTTAAGGCAGGTCACGTGCTAACAAATTTCCTTAACATTTGCTTATCTGAAAAGAATCTTAATCTCTTTCACTTATGAAACTTAGTTTGGCTAGATATGAAATTTTTGGTTGGAATTAGATAAGACCCAGATTATCTTTAAGGTTATTGTATTTCCTCTCCAATTTGTTGTGATTATTTTTTCTAATTATGTAGGAAGAAATCTGAAGCATTATCACTTAAAAAATATACTGAATATAGGCCCCTAATCTCTTCAGGCTTTTAGGGTTTCTTCTAAAAGATCCACTGTTTGCCTGATGTAGTTGCCTTTGTAGGTGACTTGCTGCCTCTTTCTAGCAGCATTTAACATTTTTTCTTTCATTTTGACCTAGGAGAATCTTCCGGCTACATTTCTTGGGGATGGCCACCTTGTATAGTATCTCACAGGGGTTCTCTGTATTTTCTGAATTTAAGTGTTGGCCCTTGGGTGAGGTTGGAGAATTTTCATGGCCTATATCCCAAAATATGGTTTCCAACTTGCTTTCTTTCTTACTCTTTCTCCTATAGGGATGCCAAGGAGCCAGAGATTTGGTCTTTTTACATAATCCCATAGTTCTCAAAGGTTTTGTCCATTCTTTATTCTTTTTTCTTTATTTTTGTATGACAATTAATTTGTAGTACCAGACTTAACCTCTGAGATTCTTTGCTCCACTTGGTTGATTTTGCGTTGATACTTGCAATTGTATTTTGAAATTATTGAAGTGAGTTTTTCAGCTCTATCAGATCAGCTTTGTTTTTTCTTAAAATGGCTATTTTGTCTTTCAGTTCTTGTATTGTTGTATTGTATTCCTTAGACTCCTTGGATTGGGTTTTGAGTTTCTCTTGAATCTCAGTAATCTTCATCCCTATCAATATTCTTAATTCTGTTTCTGGCATTTCGGTCATTTCAGCCTGGTTAAGAACCATTGCTGGGGAACTAGCATGATCATCTGGAGGATGATCACCCTGGATTTTTTAGCGTCCAGAGTTCTCATGCTGGTACATTCTAATCTGTGTGGGCAGATGTTCCTTCAATCTTGGAAGTTGCTGCCCTTTGGATAAGGTATTTGCTTTTATCTTCTTTGATTCCCTTGGGAGTTTGATAGAGGAATATGGTGGGTTCAGTCGATTGACTTTGTCTCTGGAAGATCTCAGGGGGCCAAAGATTAGTTTAGTACTCCAGGCCTGCTTGCAGTAACTCTGGGGGGCTAATGCCAGGCCCCTAGCTTTGTTAGTTTAGCCCCTTCATGCTGGGAACCTGCTGCAATGGAGAGGTTAAGGATTTTACTGAGCATCATTTGTAAAATAGATTTAGGAATACTATATTTAAAATACATAAAATATAATCATTAAGGCATAGCTGATTTTCATATGTTCATTTTGTCCATTTGTTTTCCCCTATGCAATGCATAACTTACCAGTAAAATGTATTTTCTTTACAAAGTGTTAAAAAGATAAAGAAATAAAAAACTATTTATTGCTACTGAGATGCTAAATAATGTAACATTCTAAATATGTTATTAAAATGCATTAATGGAAATAATATATATGAATATATTTCTCCTGACATTCAATATAAGGAATATTAGGTAAAATTATAGTATGATGAAAATTATATTACCATTTTTGTCCTTAAGGCTAACAGTCTTCAATCCTACTACTTCAGCCACTTTGCTGTTGGCCACACTTAAAAGTATTCAGAGAAACACTGAAGTCTGGTTTCAAAAGTGAGGTGGGACTGCATTGCCATCATTATCATCATAGAACAATAAAAAATAATTTTCTGTCATATTGAAAACATGCAGAAATCCTTTCCTTCAGAGATTTTGTTACTTCTGGTTATGGGTCTTGATAGAGTCACTTAAGATAGGGTCTTGGTAATTCAGTTTACATGACATCTAGATCACAATATTTTGATGACTTTTATTCAGAAATGTGGCAAACATTTTCTTCCGTAACATATGAACTAATAATTTGAGGAACATGTAAGTGACTAGTTTTTTTTTTACATAAAACCTGTAGTTAAGCATTGTCAAATCATGTTACAAAATTCTCACCTTTCAAAGTTGACAATAACATTGATAAATACTTTGAAATATCATTAAGGTGTATTATGTTTTCTGAAGTTATTTGTTTAATCCTTTGTTAGAATGCCATTATGATTTCAGACACTAGATCTTTATTCTAAGCACAGAAACAGATTTTGGGTAAACCAATGCTGTTTTTCCTCTTCCGAAGAGGAGGACATTACTTTTATGAACACACTCATTTGATTAATATTGACTTTCCCTTTTAAATGTGAAAGACAAAGAAGAATTTATTATATAAGTCAAGGAACCCTTCTTGAGGACACAGAAAAGTCATAATCATTATCAAAGACTGCTTTACTAAGAAACTTTTACACAAATGACACTGGCAATAGTTAAAAAATGGTGCCTTCTAAAGATAAAAAGTGGCTCAGTTGTCAGGGAAGAAATCATGATAATAGAAGGCACTAGGTAAATGTTGGCTATCATGTGCCAGGCATAATGTTAGAACATTTATCTATGACCTCTAAATTCACTGTAGGTAATCAGGGTAGCTGTTATTATCTTCATTTTACAAGTGATAAAATTGAAAATAGAGAATTAAAAAGGTTAAGTAATTGATCAAATTTATATAGTTTTGAAATGATGTAGAGGGTGGAAAACCAGGTTCTGTAAGGCAGCACAGCTGCAGATCTTTGCACTACCACATGAATGACAAATATCTCATCTCATTCCATTTCCCCTGGCTGATATAGCAAATAGTGTGTAGCTTTTTCTCTGCTCAGCAACAGACACCCTCGGAATCCTTCTAAACACAGAATCTATACAGCACTAAACTATTGAGCAGATCTGATGCAAATAATAAACCCAAGGCAACATTCTGTCAAAATGTGCCAGTCTTCTCTATTCTTTGAGCAAACCCATGTCACTGTATCTGTGAGTGATTGTTTCAAGAAATCTATGTACTTAATTTTTTAATTCCAATACTTCAAATTAGCTTGTCTCTCCTAATATCCAAACGTGTTTAACTTTCATTTATCCCATGCCAACAAAGCAATTTGCCTGTGATTTCCAGTCAAGCGAATGTAAACTTTCTTTCTTAAATTCTGTTTGGATGATTTTCCCTTTCTGTAGGTGGCTGTAACTGCATTGAATGAGAAGATAGTCATTTCAGATAAACATGGACTTGTTTCTCCTCTTGACTGCTTCATTACTTATAAATACCACCCATACTATATTAAAGCTCACTCTCAGGATGAGTATTGATTTAGGAGTCTCTCTACCAATGATAAGAAGGGAATGTACAGATGCCACTGTATACAGAACTTAGCAGGTGGCCTAAATAGTATCGTAAGTGCCTGTTAGAGTAAGAAATAACCAATAGGTGAGAACGTTTTTATGTAAGAACAGTCTTCCTGGCTATTTTTTCTTTTCTTTTTCTTTTTTTCACTCTCCCTCCATCCCTTCCTGCTTTTCTTCCTTCCTGCCGGCCTTCCTTGCCTTCCTTGCCTCTTCCTTACTTCCTTCCTCCCTTCCTCCCTCCCTTCCTCCCTTCCTCCCTTCCTCCCTTCCCCTTCCCCCTTCCCCTTCCTTCCTTCCTTCCTTCCTTCCTTCCTTCCTTTTCTCTCTCTCTCTCTGACCATAAATGGAATAAGCAAAAATAAGCATAAACATTTCTGCAGAGGTTAACTATTGCAAGCATGTAAAGAGGTATATATATATATATATATACACACATTTCAATAAGCATAGCGATATACATAATGAAAAAATAAAAACAAAATATAAGTCTAACATAATGTAACTGTTTTAAATAAATTAAACTGTGTTCTCAGGTAATCATGTATTTTCAACATGAAGATTTAAATTTATATGCAGATATACCTGTAAATAAAATAAGTTTAAAAGATCATGATATGTGAACTAAATAATTTCACAACAGAAATATAGTATGCTACTTTGAGAGAAAAATATTTTTTAAACTATCAAGTATATATAAGCTAAAACAAGTTATTTCTGATATTTTAGATAATTTACTCTTTCCATTCTATTTGAAATTTGTTACTATTTTTTATCTATCAAAGTCATTTCTTCTGTAGTAACTACAAATAAATAAAATAACTTTATTTCTGCAAAGACATAATAACAATAATATCTTCAAAAATTGGCACTAGCTGGGTTCAGTGATGTGCATTTGTAATCCCAGCTACACAGGAGGCCAAGGAGTGCTTGATCCCCAGGAATCTGAGTCCAGTCTGGGCAACATAGTGATACACCATCTCTAAAAGAAACGTAAATTTCCACTGTATCCTATAAGATGACAGCCTGATGGTCAGGGGAGATGTTGGGGAAAAATACACATACATAGATAAAAACATCCATCCCTGCAATGACTTAACTTATAATCACATCATTTTACTTTAACTTGTTAAAAGTTTTCAGGATAGCTATGGAAGTATTATTCAAAACAAAAGGAAACCTAAGGAATGGGCATGCTAAAATAAAGCTCGAAGTAGAAATTTAGGGTGGAAATTAAAATACAAAAATAGGGCGGTTTTTTTTTTCATTTATTTTCTGATTTGAAAGAATCTTTTTGATCAGAAATGGGAAGCTTTTAACTTTCAACTGCCAGTGCTACTTTTCTTCTTTCATGAAAGATTTCCCCATAGATTTCAGTGCTGTTTGATAGCATTTAACCCTCAGTAGAAATGTTTTCAAAATGGGAGTCAGTCCTCTCAAAACCTGCCACTGCTTTGTCAACTAAACTTATGTAATATTCTAAATTCTTTGTTGTCATTTCAATGGAGTTCATGGCATCTTCACCAGGAATAGATTTTATCTCAAGAAACCACTTTTTTTGTATTCATCCACACAAAACAGTTGCTCATTTGTGTATATTTTATCATGAGATTGCAGCAATTCAGTCATATATTTAGGCTCCACTTCTAATTCTAGTTCCCTTGCAATTTCTACCACATCTGTAGGTATTATCTACACTGAAGTCTTAACCTCTCGAAGTCATTCATGAGTGTTGGAATCAACTTCTTCCAAACTCCTGATAAAGTTGTTATTTGATCTCCTCCTATAATTTATAAATGTTCTTAATGGCATCTAGAATGGAAGGTCTTCAATTTACTTTGCCCAGATACATAAGAAGAATTGCTACCTATGCCAGCTATAGTCTTGTGAAATGTATTTCTTAAATAATAAAACTTGAATGTCAAAATTACTCCTTGATCCATGGGCTGTAGAATGGATGTTGTGCTGGCAGGCATCACAGCAACACTGATCTCCCTGTACATCTCCATCAGAGCTTATGGGTGACTAGGTGCATTGTCAATGAGCAGTGATACTTTGAAAATAATCTTTTTTTTTCCATTGGGGCTTAAATATTCATTTGAAGCCCCAATGGAAAAAATTAATATTCATATCTATCTTGTAAATATATGGGCTGTTATCCAGGCTTTGTTATTCCATTCATAGAGCACAGTTATAGTAGACTTGGCATAATCTTAACAACCCTCCGATTTTCAGAATGGTCAGTAAGTATCAGCCTCAACTTAAAGTCACCACCTACATTCATCCATAACAAGATAGTCAGCCTGTACTTTGATGCTTTGAAGCCAGGCATTGACTTCTCTCTAGTTATGAAAGTTTTACACGGCATCCTTCCATAGAAGGTATTTTCATCTATATTAAAAATCTCTTGTTCAGTGTAGCCACCTTCAACAATGATCTTAGCTAAATTTTCCAGATAAGTTGCTATAGCTTACCCATTAACACTTGCTACTTCATCTTACACTTTTATGTTATGGAGATGACTTCTTTCATTAAATGTTATAAACAACCTCTGCTAACTTCAAACATCTGCAGCTTCCTGTCCTCTCTCAGTTTTCACAGAATTTAAGAGAGTTAAGGCCTTGTTCTGGATTAGGCTTTGGTTTAAGGGAATGTTGTGGTTGGTTTGATTTTCTATCCAAACCAGTAACACTTTCTCTATATCCACAATCAGACTGTTTTGTTTTGTTTTGTTTATACTTTAAGTTTTAGGGTACATGTGCACAACGTGCAGGTTTGTTACATATGTATACGTGTGCCATGTTGGTGTGCTGCACCCATTAACTCATCATTTAACATTAGTTATATCTCCTAATGTTATCCCTTCCCCCTCCCCCTCCCCCTACCCCACAACAGGCCCTGGTGTGTGACTGTTTTGTTTTCTTATCATTCATGTGCTCACTGAAGTAGCACTTTTTGAGTTTCCCTCAAGAACTTTTCCTTTGCATTCACAAGTTGGCTGTTTGGTGCTTGAGGCCTAGCTTTTGGCCTCTGGGCTTTCAACATGCCTTTCTCACTAAGCTTATTTATTTTTAGCTTGTGATTAAAAATGAGAGGCCTGGGACTCCTCCTTTCATTTGAACACTTAGAGACCACTGTACAATTATTAGTTGGCCTAATTTGAATATTGTGTGCCTCTGGAAACAGGGAAGCTGAAGTGGGTGGAGCAGTCATAACACATTCAACATGTATCAGTTAAGTTTATCATCTTCTATGGACCTGGTTTGTGGTGGCCCAAATCAACTACAATAGTAGTTGATCTCAAAGACCGCTGATCTCTATAACAAATAATAATAATAATAAAGTTTGAAATATTATGATAATTTCCAAAACATAGACACAGAGACATGAAGTGAGCACATGCTATTGGAAAAACAATGCCGATAGATTTGTTGGACACCAGGTTGCCACAAAACTTCAATTTGTAAAAATTGGAATATTTGTGGAGTGAAATAAAGCAAAGAGCAGCAAAACAAGGTATGCCTGTATTGTTCTATTTATTCCATAGATTTTCTAAACTTCAGTAATTTTTCTTAAAACTTGAATAAAAAAGGTATTTGTCTCATTGTCTCTCGACATTTTAGTTGAATTGCACAATTTGCAGTTATTATTTGACATCTCTATAAATTTATCTGAACATTTATTTGATCATGTCTATACATTCTTCTAAACAGAATAAGCCCTTTCAAAAGTGACCATTCTGTTTACATTTCTATTCATTTCATTCTTTAGTTGTAGCCTCAAATTATATTATAATCGTATTAACAGAAAAATCAATTCTTATTGAGAATTTTTAATATACTAAATGATGTATGTACATCATTTTATTTTCATTCTGGAATTACCACAATTGTCCCAAATTTTATAGGTGAGACAACTTCAAACAAGAGAGTTTAAGTTAATCACAGTGGAAAATCCTGTGCTCAAACCTAGGCCTAGTTGGATCTAAATTAATGCTCTTAAATATACTTCGTTGAGAAAAAAAGAACTACACTATTTTTTGTTTCGGTTTGGTTTTTTCTTGTACGATTTCTGATAACCATAGACATTTCACTCAGTAAGTAGTGCAGGCTGATTGGCAATCACTGAAGTGTGAGAATTTTCCCAAGTAATTATTGTAGCATTAACTTCTGTACTTGATTGATACCTCCCTCTTCCATCTAAAACTCTCCAATCTAGCCAATTCTAAAACTCAAACCTATACTTAGAGAGTCTTTCCCTATTCATCTGAAAGCATTTCTTCTTCAGGGAAAGGTGTGATAGAAAAATACAAATATTACTGAAAGTTGTTACTGAAAAAGCAATCACCATTAGAGTCTACTTTATCATTCAGAAACCAAGTTAGATAGTCAGCAACTTAACATGACTCTAAAGTTTCTGCTTCACTTTTAATTCTCAAGGGTGAGAAAAAATATTTGTTTCTACTGCAAATATTAAGAAACCAAGATCTCAGAAAATGTTGTCAATTTAGAATGTGATTAATTGTATTAATCTAATATATGAACATGATATATTATGATAGGATTAACTAACACATGGTGTTGTTACACATGTGTTTAAGAATCCTTTAGAATTTAAATGTTAAGCTTCATATAAAGGGCTCATTTACTCATATAAGTTACAGTGTAACTTACTTTCAGGAAAGAAAGAAAGAGAGCGTCAGTTGTCAAAGTGATAATTCTTCTCGGTGTAAAAAGAGAAGGGTAAGGAGAAATATCATCCTAAGAATGGTTTTATTTCTTTTTATGGCTGACACAGGAACAGAAAACCAAATACCACATGTTCTCACTCATAAGTGGGAGTTACTCTACAATGAGAACACATAGACAGAGAGAGGGGAACAATACACACGAGGGCCTGTTGCGGGGTAGGGTATGAGGGGAGGGAACTTGGAGGACAGGTCATAGGTGCAGCAATCCACCATGGCACACGTATACCTATGTAACGAACCTGCACGTTCTGCACCTGTATCCTGTTTTGTTGTTGTGGTTGTTGTTGTTATTGTTGTTGTTTTAGAATACATTTAAAAAAAGAATGGTTTTATTTACTTGAGTATTTATTTTGTGTTTGCATTTATGCTAAGTATGTGGCATCATTTTCTCATTTAATCTTTACTACATCATTTTCATTTTCTTGGCAATGTATCTGAGATTGACATTCCTATCAGATTGATGAGCTTATTATTTTGAGTTATTCAATCAGGGATGTTTGGAGTTATTCGCTTTTAAGTTTAAGAATGGCTTAAGGATATGACTTCGTTTAGAAGTTATGGAACTTATATTTCTAGATCTTATGTAAACTGAATCACAGCTCTAACCGATTTTTATTTGTGAACTCTTTTCTATGCATGAGATGTCCCAGGGAAGGCTCAATCAGAGAGAACAAGAAGAACATTTAACCCCAGTTAGATTTCGTGTACAAAGACTATGATTTCAGAGGAAGTTTAAAGTTAGATGACTGATAAGTTGTTTTGATTGTTAAAGTTTAGGTAAAAGATAATCAGAATATCTGAATTGCAGTAAAATCAAAATACTGCTGGAAGCAAACGTATACTAGTTTAAGATACAAAGTGCAATAAATATATCACTGCTTGTATTTATATTTTGCTTATGTATACATACCATTTATACATAAAGTGAATATAGTGAGCTCAATTTGAGATGGACAGGTAAGAATTGGAAATATATCTTCTTAAAAGTTGATCTAAATGATAAATGAACTCTACAATTTCAGTTCAGTGTATGTAGATGAATATAATAATATAATAAATAGAGCTATGATACACTACAAGCCATGCCTTCAAATTGCATATTCTTATTTTCCTCTCAGCAGCAGGTAGTTTGGAAACAAATAAAATTATTGAAGATAAATTTTAAATTATCAGCTCTGGAATATAATTAAAGATTTTCTTGAATGTTATATAAATTTGGATATATATCCTTTTCTTCCTTGTGAAGTGGCCAAAGTATTACTTGGCATACTTTATATGTGGCGGAACATAAACTTTCTATTTCCAAATTTGCTGACTTTTCTGTTCTCATATAAAAGATTGTAAAGTCAGTAAAGCTAAATTTATGAGTGTGTTAAACTCCGTAAGCAGAAAGTCTACATGAAGCATAGGATATCCTCTCCAAAGCTGTCAAACTGTTTCTATAAGTATCATGTAGAAATCACAGGGTGAAAAGAAATTTCTTATTCAGAAATCCAATTTCCTTGGAGGATGATGGACACATCTAAAATGTCTGTAAAATATAAAAATGTAGACGATGTGTGGCTGAAGAGTTAAGCATTGCCATTCAAAATACTCCTCTGAGTACAGCAGCCAGAGCCATTTCAGTGCTCTGGCTGCTGTACTCAGAAGAGTAATTTCCTAGCTCCTGCTGCAGAAAGCTTTCACAATTAATGCACTGGTGCAAAAGGTCATTCTCAACTCATTGTCAGTCATGAGGTTCAGATTAGTTTAGTCTTAGGAATACTGAAGGAAATTTATAGGAATACAATGGGTTCCTAGCTGAGGTGGTTTACAGCTGAAAGATTGCTTCAGGAGAATTTCTTGGTTTGAGAGTTTCTAGTGGTTATTGACTTCCCCAGCCCAATCTAAAAAATAAAGCAGCAAGGAACTATGTAGATTACTACTCATTAAGAAAGTCTTTTAAGTGAGCCAAATTATGTGTAGGCTGCTCCTAAATATAAACAAACATAAAAGTAGGAAATACAGAGTTTTCAGAGACATTTCTACAAATCTAAACCATGAAGTGCCTGTGCTATTTCAATAGAGATGCAATTTATTTGTGGGTTTTCATATTTGAAGTTTGGAGGTAATTTTTAATTGATAATTAAAACATATTTTCCTCTTTTGTTCTGCTACGTACTGTCATAAATTATTTTGTACTTTCATTTACACCATACCATATAAGAAGTTTTTAGGGATCATTTGTAAGTCATAAGCTACATAACTCACCTGCTCAGAGGAACTCCTCTGTCTCATATTCAGCCAAGTTGAGAAAAAAATTGGACATTTTGCTCATTGACCTTCAATGATGGTCATCTTCTTATGCACCTAATGCAGTACTTGCTTTTCTAGGGACACTGAGATAATAAACAGTTTCAAATATAATAGGTGATTTTAAAAGTTGGTGAATGATATTAACAGTACTGACAAACGTTAGTTGATATTCTTATTATAGTTATTACTGGTTTAGCAACTCCCCACAGCTTAAAATGCAAAATTCAAATACTCTGGTTAATAAGTAGGAGAAGTATACTCTAAAATAACTATAAAAAATATAGTCTTGTGGCTGGCCATGGTGGCTCATGCCTGTAATCCCAGCACTTTGGGAAGTTGAGGTGGGTGGATCACAAGGTCAGGAGATCGAGACAAGCCTGGCCAACATGGTGAAACCCCATCTCTACTAAAAATACAAAAATTAGCTGGAAGTGGTGGCGTGCTCCTGTAGTCCCAGCTACTCGGGAGACTGAGGCAGGAGAATCACTTGAACTCAGGAGGCAGACGTTACAGTGAGCCGAGATGGTGCCACTGCACTCCAGCCCAGCCTGGCAACAGAGCAAGACTCCATCTCAAAAAAAAAAAAAAAAAAGGTAGTCTTGTAAATACACAAACCAGTAATATGGTGTTTATTAACATTATTGAGTATTATGTACTATATATAATTGCATATGCTGTATTTTTATACACTGGCAGTGCAGTAGGTTAACACCAGCATTACCACAAACACATGAGTAATGCGTTGTGTTATAATGTTATGACAGCTACAGTGTCAACAGAAGATAGACATTTTTCAGCTCCATTCCAATCTTAAGGGATCACCTCATATATGTGGTCCATTATTAACAGAAACATTGTTAAGTGGCACATGACTATACAATTTCTTGATCATGCTGTATTTTTTGCAACTCCACAGTTTCTTTATTGCTTATAACCTATGTTCAAAACGTTTTTGTCTGTTTGATGACCTCTCATTCCTTCAAGAACATGCCCCAATACCACCCATTCTGTGAAATTGCTACCTACTTTGCTGCTCCCATCCAATAGAATTATTTACATTTTCTCCAAGACCAGTAGGAGTTGGCATCTACTTGTCTTATAGAGCACACTCCAATATATTGTATTCATAGGTGACTCAATATATTTGTCTTCATAGGTGACAAAAGCAAAGATCATGTCTTCACTGCCTTCTGCTCTATGTATAACACAGTCATGCAAATAGTATTTGATATTTGGGTTTTTGGGATGAACACAATTACTTAATGTCGTTATTTCATAAATTGATGAATGTTAATAGAAGTGTCATAGATATGCCAAATATGTTATATTGATCCACTTAAAACTTTATTCAGTCCCTAATTGCTGACTTTTGCACAGTGCTTTTCATGGCTGGTAAGTTAATGAGGAAAGTAGTCAGAGGCAAAATGTAAGTGTTGATCAAGAATTTTTCTACCATTTTATATAACATTCAAGCCGTGATAATAATTGACTGGTTTGGAGATCAACAGTTTCTGTGAACAATTTACATAATATTTCAGCTCTTTGTTTTTTTGACTTTGGTAGTTACCATATCCAAAAAAGAGTGCTTTGTGTTAATTGTTTTAAATGAATAATACACTTTGCATATGTATTTGTAGAATTGCTTCTGTTAGCATCACTTAGCTCATAAACTTTAAAAATTACCTATTTTATAGCCATTTTATCTACCTATGTGGACATATATATTAATAATAATATCAGAAAATTTTATTTTAAGGTTTATGTAGTTGTGGCTAAAGAGTTGTAGTAAGAAAGAAAAATTGAATGTGAAGAGAAGATAGGTATTTTGGAAACGTTACTGAGAAAGCAGATACCCAATTTAGCATATCTAAAAATATTGAATTACTTTTTGAGCATTGGAATTTTTAGGTAGTCTAATGTTGCTTTATTAAGTTATCTAATTTTTAGGATTATTAACCTTATTTTGACATTATAAATGTTCTCAACACAAGCATTAACTGACTGATCCTGATCTTCTCATACACAATGAACAAGTAAAGCTTTGGTTCTTTATTCTATGGAGAGACAACTTGCTAATGCAGTGACAAATTTTCCTCATGAATTTTACTTATTGAAAAAGTAATTGCCTTTCAGAGTTGATTTTGAGATGCTGCTTTTGGGGTTTAACTTCTTTGTGATTCTTAAGTAGGAATGGAAATTTTAATGGGTGAAGCTTATCTGTGAATCACTGGTAACTAGAAACTGATTTTACATGGCTAGATTTTCAAACTGAGATGAAAGGAGAAAACCTATGTAAGCATACTTGTTTAAGCATATTCTGATATTTTCAATATTAATCCTATGTATTTTTCAA